>NC_000014.9:16000000-16022537 GCF_000001405.40 Homo sapiens
AGCATTCTGAGAAATTACTTTGTGATGTGTGCATTCATCACAAAGAGTTGAACCTTTCTTTTGGTTGAGCAGTTTTGAAGCACTCTTTTTGTAGAATCTGTAAGTGGATATTTGGAGTTCTTTGAGGCTTATGGTGGTAAAGGAAATATCTTCACACAAAAACTACACAGAACCATTCTGAAATACCTCTTTGTGATGCTTGCATTCATCTCACATAGTTGAACCATTCTTTTTATTGAGCAGTTTTGAAACAATCTCCTTGTAGAATGTGCAAGTGGATATTTGGAATGCTTTGATGAGTATGGTGGAAAATGAAAAATCTTCACATAAAAACTAGACAGAATTACTCTGAGAAACTTCTTTGTGATGTGCACATTCATCTCACAAATTTGAAAATTTCTTTTGATTGAGCAGTTTTGAAACGCTCTTTTTCTAGAATCTGCCAGTGGTTATTTGGAGTGCTTTGAGTCCTATGGTGGAGAAGGAAATATCCTCACATAAAAACTAGAGAGAAGCATTCTGAGAAACTTCTTTCTGATGTGTGCATACATCTCACGGAGTTGAAACTTTCTATTGATTTAGCATTTTTTATACACTTTTTGTAGGATCTGCAGTTGCTATTTGGAGCCCTTTGGGGCCAATGGTGGAAAAGTACTATCTTCTCATAAAAACTAGACAGAAGCATTCTGAGAAACTTCTTGGTGATGTGTGCATTCATCTCACAGTAGTTGAACCTTTCTTTTGATTGAGCAGTTTTGAAACGCTCTTTTCGTTGAATCTGCAAGTGCATATTTAGAGTGCTTTGAGGCACGTGGTGGAAAAGGAAATATCTTCACATAAACACTAGACAGAAGCATTCTGAGAAATGTCTTTGTGATGTGTCCATTCACTTCACAGAGTTGAAACTTTCTTTTCATTGAGCAGTTTTGAAACACTCTTTTTATAGAATATGCAAGTGGATATTTGGAGCGTTTTGGAGAGAATGGTGGAAATGGAAATATCTTCATATAAAAACTACGGAGAAGCATTCGGAGAAACGGCTTTGTTATGTGTGACTTCAGCTCACACAGTTGAACCTTTCTTTTGATTGAGCATTTTTGATTCCCTCTTTTTGTAGAATCTGCAAGTGGATATTTGGAGAGCTTTAGGGCCTACGGTGGAAAAGGAAATATCTTCACATAAAAACTACACAAAAGCATTCTGAGAAACTTCTTTCTGATGTGTGCATACAACTCACAGAGTCGAAACTTTCTTTTGATTGTGCAGTTTTGAAACACTTCTTTTGTAGAATCTGCAAGTGGATATTCAGAGGGCTTTGTGGAGTATAGTGGAAAAGGAAATAACTTTGGATAAAAGCTAGACAGCAGAATTCTGAGAAACTTCTTTGTGATGTGTGCATTCAACGTACAGAGTTGAACCTTTCTTTAGATTTGGCAGTTTTGAAACACTACTTTTGTAATATCTGCAAGTGGATATTTGGTGACCATTGCAGCCTATGGTGGAAAGGCAAATATCTTCACATAAAAACTAGACCAAGGCATTCTGAGAATCTTCTTTGTGATGTGTGCATTCTTCTCACACAGTTCAACTTTTCTTTTGATTCAGCAGTTTGGAAACAGTATTTTTCTACAATCTGCAAAGGGATACTTCTTAGCCGATTTAGGCCTATGGTGAATTAGGAAATATCTTCACATAAAAAATAAACAGAAACTTTCTGAGAAACTTCTTTGGGATGTGTGTTTTCATCTCACAGAGATGAAACTTTCTTTTGATTGAGCAATTTGGAAACTCTCTTTTTGTAGGATCTGCAAATGGATATTTAGAGTGCTTTGAGGCCTGTGGTGAAAAAGGAAATATCTCCACATAACAACTAGACAGAAGCATTCTGGGAACATCTTTGTGATGTGTGCATTCATCTCACAGAGTTGAACCTTTCTTTTGATTGAGTAGTTTGGAAACAGTCTTTGATAGTATCTGCAGAGAGATATTTGTGAGCATTTTGAGGACTTTGGTGAGAAAAGAAATATCTTCATATAAAACCTAGTCAGAAGCATTCTGAGAAACTTCTTTGTGATGTGTGCATTCATCTGACAGAGTTGAAACTTTGTTTTGATTGAGCAGTTTGGAAACAGTCCTTTTGTAGGATCTGCAAAGGGATATTTCTGAGCCCATTGAGACCTATGGTGAAAGAAGAAATATCTTCACTTAAAAACTAGACATAAGCATTCTGAGAAACTTCTTAGTGATGTGTGCTTTCATCTCACAGGTTTGAACTTTCTTTTGATTGAGCAGTTTGGAAACAGTGTTTTTGTAGAATCTGCAAAGGATATTTTGAGCGCTTTGACGCCTATGGTGAAAAAGGACATATCTTCACATGAAATCTAAACAGAAGCTTTCTGAGAAACTTCTTTTTTATGAGTTCATACATCTCACAGAGGTGAAACTTTCTTTTCATTGAGCAGTTTGGAAACAGTCTTTTTGTACAGTCTGCAAAGGAAATATCTGCGAAGTTGGAGGCCTATGGTGAAAAAGAAATATCTTCAGATAAAATGTAGACAGATGTATTCTGAGAAAATTTTTTGTGATGTATCCATTCATCTCACAGAGTTGAAATTTTCTTTTGATGGAGCAGTCTGGAAACAGTCTTTTTGTAGTATCTGAAGAGGTATATGTGAGAACAGTTTAAGGCCTCTGGTGGAAAAGGAAATATCTTCACATAAAACTAGGTAGAAGCATTCTAAGAAACTTCTTTGTATTGTGTGCATTCATCTCAAAGACTTGAACCTGTATTTGGACTGAGCAGTTTGGAAACTGTCGTTTTGTAGAATCTGTGAAGGGATATTTCTGAGCCCATTGAGGCCTATGGATGAAATAGGAAATATCTTCACATAAAAACTAGACAGAGGATTTCTGAGAACCTTCTTTGTCATATGTGGTTTCATCTCACAGAGTTGAACCATTCTTTTGGTTGAGCAGTTAGGAAACAGTCTTTTTGTAGGATCTGCAAAGAGATATTTCTGTTCCCATTGATGCCTATGGTGAAAAAGGACATATCTTCACATAAAAACTAGACAGAAGCTTTCTGATAAACTTCTTAGTGATGTGTGCTTTCATGTCACAGATTTGAAACTTTCTTTTGATTGATCAGTTTGGAAACAGTCTTTTTGTAGAATCTGCAAATGGATATTTGGAGTGCTTTGAGGCCTATGGTGAAAAAGGAAATACCTTCACATGAAATATAAACAGAAGCTTTCTGAGAAACTTCTTTTTGATGCGTGCATACATCTCACAGAGTTGAATATTTCTTTTCATTGAGCAGTTTGGAAACAGTCTTTTTGTACAATCTGGAATGGGATATTTCTGAGAAGTTGGAGGCCTATATCGAAAAAGAAATAGTATTCTGAGAAACTTCTTTGAGATGTATCCTTTCATCTCACAGAATTGAACCTTACTTTTGATGGAGCAGTTTGGAGACAGTCTTTTTGTAGTATCTGCGGAGGGATATCTGAGAGCAGTTTAAGGCCTATGGTGAAAAAGGAAATATCTTCACATAAAAACTAGGCAGAAGCATTCTGAGAAACTTCTTTGTGATGTATGCATTCAACTCAAAGAGGTGAAACTTTCTTTGGATTGAGCAGTTTGGAAATAGTCCTTTTGCAGAATCTGCAAAGGGATATTTCTCAGTCCATTGAGGCCTATGGTGAAATAGGAAATAACTTCTCATAAAAACCAGACAGAAGGTTTCTGAGAAACTTCTTTGAGATATGTGCTTTCATCTCACAGAGCTGAACCTTTCTTTTGGCTCAGAAGTTTGGAAACAGTCTTTGTGTAGAATCTGCAAAGCGCTATTTTTGAGCACCTTCTGGACTGTGGTGAAACAGAAAATATCTTCACATAAAAACTAGACAGAAGCTTTCTGAGAAACTTCTTTATGATGTGTTCTTTCATCTCACAGAGTTGTAAATTTCCTTTGATTGAGCAGTTTGGAAACACTCTTTATGGGGAATCTGCAAGTGGATATTTGGAGTGCTTTGTGGCCTATAGTGGAAAATGAAATATCTTCACATAAAAACTAGATAGAATCATTCTGAGAAACTTCTTTGTGATGTGCACATTCATCACAAAGAGTTGAACATTTCTTTCGATTCAGCAGTTTGGAAACAGTCCTTATGTAGAATCTGTGAAGGGATATTTCTCAGACCATTGATGCCTATGGATGAAATAGGAAATATTCTCACAAAAAAACTAGACAGAAAATTTCTGAGAAACTTCTTTATGATATGTGGTTTCATCTCACAGAGTTGAACCGTTCTTTTGTTTGAGCAGTTTGGAAACACATTTTTTGTAGAATCTGCAAGTGGATATTTGGAGCACATTGAGGCCTATGGTGGAAAACGGAATATTTTCACATAAAAATTAGACAGAATCATTCTGAGAAACTTCTTTGTGATGTGTGCATTCAACCCACAGAGTTCAACCTTTCTTTAGATTCAACAGTTTTGAAACACTCTTTTTGTAAAATCTGCCAGTGGATTTTTGGAACGCTTTGAGGCCTACGGTGGAAAAGGAAATATCTTCACATAAATAGTACATAGAAGCATTCTGAGAAACTTCTTTGTGATGTGTGCATTTAACTCAAAGAGTGCAATCCTTCTTTTGATTGAGCAGTTTTGAAAGACTCCTTTTGTAGAATCTGTAAGTGGATATTTGGAGCGCTATGTGGCCTTAAGTGGAAAAGGCAATATCTTCACATAAAAACTAGACAACAGCATTCTGAGAAACTTCTTTGTCATGTGTGCATTCATCTCACAGAGTTGAAGCTTTCTTTTGATTGAGCAGTTTTGAAACACTCTTTTTGTAGAATCTCCAATTGGATACTTGGAGCGTTTTGAGGCTTATGGTAGAAAAGTAAATATTTTCACGTGAAAACTACACAGAAGCATTCTGAGAAATTGGTTTGTGATGTGTGCATTCAACACACAGAGTTGAACCTTTCTTTTGATTTAGCAGTTTTGAAACACACTTTTTTTTGGATCTGCAAGTGGATATTTGGAGTGCTTTGTGGCCTAATGCGGAAAAGGATATATTTTCACATAAAAACTATGGAGAAGCATTCTGAGAAACTTCTTTGTGATGTGTGCATTCATCTCACAGAGTTCAACCTTTCTTTTGATTGAGCAGTTTTGAAACGCTCTTTTTGTAGAGTGTGCAAGCAGATATTTGGAGCTCTTTGAGGCTTATGGTGGAAAAGGAAATATCTTCACATAAAAACTACAGAGAAGCATTCTGACAAAGTTCTTTGTGTTGTGTGTGTTCAACTCACAGAGTTGAGTCTTTCTTTTGATTGAGCAGTTTTGAAACACTCTTTTTTTAGAATCTGCAAGTGGATATTTCGAGTGCTTTGCAGCCTCTGTTGGAAAAGGAAATATCTTCACATAAACTAGACAGAAGCATTCTGAGAAACTTCCTTGTGATGTGTGCATTCATCTCACAGAGAGGAAACTTTCTTTTGATTGTGAAGTTTTCAAACACTCTTTTTGTATAATCTGCAAGTGGATATTTGGAGGTCTTTGTGGCCTATAGGGGAAAAGGAAATATCTTCACATAAAAACTACAGAGAAGCATTCTGAAAAACATCTTTGTGATGTGTGCATTCATCTCAAAGAGTTCAACCTTTCTTTTGATTGAGCACTTTTGAAATACTTTTTGGAGAATCTGTAAGTGGATATTTGGAGGGCTTTGGGTCCTATGGTGGTAAAGGAAACATCTTCACATAAAAACTACACAGAAGCATTCTGAAATACCTCTTTGTGATGCTTGCATTCATCTCACATAGTTGAACCATTCTTTTTATTGAGCAGTTTTGAAACAATCTCCTTGTAGAATGTGCAAGTGGATATTTGGAATGCTTTGATGAGTATGGTGGAAAATGAAAAATCTTCACATAAAAACTAGACAGAAGTACTCTGAGAAACTTCTTTGTGATGTGCGCATTCATCTCAGATTTGAAAATTTCTTTTGATTGAGCAGTTTTGAATCGCTCTTTTTTTAGGATCTGCCAGGGGATATTTGGAGTGCTTTGAGGCCTATGGTGGAGAAGGAAATATCCTCACATAAAAATTAGAGAGAAGGATTCTGAGAAACTTCTTTGTGATGTGTGCATACATCTCACAGAGTTTAAACTTTCTATTGATTTAGCATTTTTTAAACACTTTTTGTAGGATCTGCAGTGGATATTTGGAGCCCTTTGGGGCCTATGGTGGAAAAGAATTATCTTCTCATAAAAACTAGACAGAAGCATTTTGAGAAACTTCTCTGTGATGTGTTCATTCATCTCACAGATTTGAACCATTCTTTTGATTCAGCAGTTTTGAAACACTCTTCGTAGAATCTGCAAGTGCATATTTAGATCGCTTTGAGAAGTGTGGTGGAAAAGGAAATATCTTCACATAAACACTAGACAGAAGCATTCTGAGAAACGTCTTTATGATGTGTCCATTCATCTCACAGAGTTGAAACTTTCTTTTCATTGAGCAGTTTTGAAACACTCTTTTTATAGAATCTGCAAGTAGATATTTGGAGTGCTTTGGAGAGAATGGTGGAAACGGAAATATCTTCATATAAAAACTACGGAGAAGCATTCTGAGAAACGGCTTTGTTATGTGTGCCTTCAACTCACAGAGTTGAAACTTTCTTTTGATTGAACAGTTTTGAATCCCGCTTTTTGTAGAATCTGCAAGTGGATATTTGGAGAGCTTTGGGGCCTATGGTGGAAAAGGAAATATCTTCACATAAAAACTACACAAAAGCATTCTGAGAAACTTCTTTCTGATGTGCGCATACAACTCCCAGAGTTGAACCTTTCTTTTGATTGTGCAATTTTGAAACACTTCTTTTGTAGAATCTGCAAGTGGATATTCGGAGGGCTTTGCCGAGTATAGTGGAAAAGGAAATAACTTTGGATAAAAGGTAGACAGAAACATTCTGAGAAACTTCTATGTGATGTGTGCATTCAACGTACAGAGTTGAACCTTTCTTTAGATCGGGCAGTTTTGAAACACTATTTTTGTAATATCTGCAAGTGGATATTTGATGACCATTGCAGCCTATGGTGGAAAGGCAAATATCTTCACATAAAAACTAGACAGAAGCTTTCTGAGAAACTTCTTTGCGATGTGTGCATTCATTTCACAGAGTTCAACTTTTCTTTTGATTCAGCAGTTTGGAAACAGTATTTTTGTACAATCTGCAAAGGGATACTTCTTAGCCAATTTAGGCCTATTGTGAATTAGGAAATATCTTCACATAAAAAATAAATGGAAGCTTTCTGAGAAACTTCTTTGGGATGTGTGTTTTCATCTCACAGAGATGAAACTTTCTTTTGATTGAGCAGTTTCGAAACTCTCTTTTTGTAGGATCTGCAAATGGATATTTGGAGCGCTTTGAGGCCTGTGGTGAAAAAGGAAATATCTTCACATAACAACCAGACAGAAGCATTCTGGAAACATTTTTGTGATGTGTGCATTCATCTCACAGAGTTGAACCTTTCTTTTGATTGAGCAGTTTGGAAACAGTCTTTTATAGTATCTGCAGAGAGATATTTGTGAGCATTTTGAGGACTTTTGTGAGAAAGGAAATATCTTCATATAAAACCTAGTCAGAAGATTCTGAGAAACTTCTTTGTGATGTGTGCATTCAACTGATAGAGTTGAAACTTTGTTTTGATTGAGCAGTTTGTAAACAGTCCTTTTGTAGGATCTGCAAAGGGATAGTTCTGGGCCCATTGAGACCTATGGTGAAAGAAGAAATATCTTCACTTAAAAACTAGACAGAAGCATTCTGAGAAACTTCTTAGTGATGTGTGCTTTCATCTCACAGGTTTGAACTTTCTTTTGATTGAGCAGTTTGGAAACAGTGTTTTTGTAGAATCTTCAAAGGATATTTTGAGCGCTTTGACGCCTATGGTGAAAAAGGACATATCTTCACATGAAATCTAAACAGAAGCTTTCTGAGAAACTTCTTTTTTATGAGTTCATACATCTCACAGAGGTGAAACTTTCTTTTCATTGAGCAGTTTGGAAACAGTCTTTTTGTACAGTCTGCAAACAAAATTTCTGCGAAGTTGGAGGCCTATCGTGAAAAAGAAATATCTTCAGATAAAATGTAGACAGAAGTATTCTGAGAAAATTTTTTGTGATGTATCTATTCATCTCACAGAGTTGAATTTTTCTTTTGATGGAGCAGTCTGGAAACAGTCTTTTTGTAGTATCTGCAGAGGGATGTGTGAGAGCAGTTTAAGGCCTGTGGTGAGAAAGGAAATATCTTCACATAAAAACTAGGTAGAAGCATTCTAAGAAACTTCTTTGTATTGCGTGCATTCATCTCAAAGACTTGAACTTGTCTTTGGACTGAGCAGTTTGGAAACTGTCGTTTTGTAGAATCTGTGAAGGGATATTTCTGAGCCCATTGAGGCCTATGGATGAAATATGAAATATCTTCACATAAAAACTAGACAGAGGATTTCTGAGAAACTTCTTTGTGATATGTGGTTTCATCTCACAGAGTTGAACCATTCTTTTGGTTGAGCAGTTAGGAAACAGTCTTTTTGTAGGATCTGCAAAGGGATATTTCTGTTCCCATTGATGCCTATGGTGAAAAAGGACATATCTTCACATAAAAACTAGACAGAAGCTTTCTGATAAACTTCTTAGTGATGTGTGCTTTCATGTCACAGATTTGAAACTTTCTTTTGATTGAGCAGTTTGGAAACAGTCTTTTTGTAGAATCTGCAAATGGATATTTGGAGTGCTTTGAGGCCTATGGTGAAAAAGGAAATACCTTCACATGAAATATAAACAGAAGCTTTCTGAGAAACTTCTTTTTGATGCGTGCATACATCTCACAGAGTTGAACGTTTCTTTTCATTGAGCAGTTTGAAAACAGTCTTTTTGTACAATCTGGAATGGGATATTTCTGAGAAGTTGGAGGCCTATATCGAAAACGAAATATCTTCACATAAAAACTAGACAGAAGTATTCTGAGAAACTTCTTTGAGATGTATCCTTTCATTTCACAGAGTTGAACCTTACTTTTGATGGAGCAGTTTGGAGACAGTCTTTTTGTAGTATCTGCAGAGAGATATCTGAGAGCAGTTTAAGGCCTACGGTGAAAAAGGAAATATCTTCACAAAAACCTAGGCAGAAGCATTCTGAGAAACTTCTTTGTGATGTATGCATTCATCTCAAAGAGGTGAAACTTTCTTTGGATTGAGCAGTTTGGAAACAGTCCTTTTGTAGAATCTGCAAAGGGATATTTCTCAGCCCATTGAGGCCTATGGTGAAATAGGAAATATCTTCCCATAAAAACCAGACAGAAGGTTTCTGAGAAACTTCTTTGAGATATGTGCTTTCATCTCACAGAGCTGAACCTTTCTTTTGGTTCAGAAGTTTGGAAACAGTCTTTGTGTAGAATCTTCAAAGGGCTATTTTTGAGCACCTTCTGGACTATGGTGAAACAGAAAATATCTTCACATAAAAACTAGACAGAAGCTTTCTGAGAAACTTCTTTATGATGTGTTCTTTCATCTCACAGAGTTGTAACTTTCCTTTGATTGAGCAGTTTGGAAACACTCTTTATGGGGAATCTGCAAGTGGATATTTGGAGTCCTTTGTGGCCTATAGTGGAAAACGAAATATCTTCACATAAAAACTAGACAGAATCATTCTGAGAAACTTCTTTGTGATGTGCACATTCATCACAAAGAGTTGAACATTTCTTTCGATTGAGCAGTTTGGAAACAGTCCTTTTGTAGAATCTGTGAAGGGATATTTCTCAGCCCATTGATGCCTATGGATGAAATAGGAAATATTCTCACATAAAAACTAGACAGAAAATTTCTGAGAAACTTCTTTATGATATGTGGTTTCATCTCACAGAGTTGAACCGTTCTTTTGTTTGAGCAGTTTGGGAACACATTTTTTGTAGAATCTGCAAGTGGATATTTGGAGCACATTGAGGCCTATGGTGGAAAACGGAATATTTTCACATAAAAATTAGACAGAAGCATTCTGAGAAACTACTTTGTGATGTGTGCATTCAACCCACAGAGTTGAACCTTTCTTTTGATTCAGCAGTTTTGAAACACTCTTTTTGTAAAATCTGACAGTGGATTTTTGGAGTGCTTTGAGGCTTACGGTGGAAAAGGAAATATCTTCACATAAATAGTACACAGAAGCATTCTGAGAAACTTCTTTGTGATGTGTGCGTTTAACTCAAAGAGTGCAATCCTTCTTTAGATTGAGCAGTTTTGAAAGACTTATTTTGCAGAATCTGCAAGTGGATGTTTGGAGCGCTATGTGGCCTTAAGTGGAAAAGGCAATATCTTCACATAAAAACTAGACAACAGCATTCTGAGAAACTTCTTTGTCATGTTTGCATTCATCTCACAGAGTTGAAGCTTTCTTTTGATTGAGCAGTTTTGAAACACTCTTTTTGTAGAATCTCCAGTTGGATACTTGGAGCGTTTTGAGGCCTATGGTAGAAAAGTAAATATCTTCACGTGAAAACTACACAGAAGCATTCTGAGAAATTGGTTTGTGATGTGTGCATTCAACACACAGAGTTGAACCTTTCTTTTGATTGAGTAGTTTTGAAACACACTTTTTTTTAGGATCTGCAAGTGGATATTTGGAGTGCTTTGTGGCCTAATGAGGAAAAGGATATATTTTCACATAAAAACTACGGAGAAGCATTCTGAGAAACTTCTTTGTGATGTGTGCATTCATCTCACAGAGTTCAACCTTTCTTTTGATTGAGCAGTTTTGAAACGCTCTTTTTGTAGAGTGTGCAAGCGGATATTTGGAGCTCTTTGAGGCTTATGGTGGAAAAGGAAATATCTTCACATAAAAACTACAGAGAAGCATTCTGACAAAGTTCTTTGTGTTGTGTGTGTTCAACTCACAGAGTTGAGTCTTTCTTTTGATTGAGCAGTTTTGAAACACTCTTCTTTTAGAATCTGCAAGTGGATATTTCGAGTGCTTTGCAGCCTCTGTTGGAAAAGGAAATATCTTCACATAAACTAGACAGAAGCATTCTGTGAAACTTCCTTGTGATGTGTGCATTCATCTCACAGAGTTGAAACTTTCTTTTGATTGTGAAGTTTTCAAACACTCTTTTTGTGCAATCTGCAAGTGGATATTTGGAGGCCTTTGTGGCCTACAGGGGAAAAGGAAATATCTTCACATAAAAACTAGACAGAAGCATTCTGAGAAACATCTTTGTGATGTGTGCATTCATCTCAAAGAGTTCAACCTTTCTTTTGATTGAGCACTTTTGAAATACCTTTTGGAGAATCTGTAAGTGGATATTTGGAGGGCTTTGGGTCTTATGGTGGTAAAGGAAACATCTTCACATAAAAACTACACAGAAGCATTCTGAAATACCTCTTTGTGATGCTTGCATTCATCTCACATAGTTGAACCATTCTTTTTATTGAGCAGTTTTGAAACAATCTCCCTGTAGAATGTGCAAGTGGATATTTGGAACGCTTTGATGAGTATGGTGGAAAATGAAAAATCTTCACATAAAAACTAGACAGAAGTACTCTGAGAAAGTTCTTTGTGATGTGCGCATTCATCTCACAGATTTGAAAATTTCTTTTGATTGAGCAGTTTTGAAACTCTCTTTTTCTAGAATCTGCCAGTGGATATTTGGAGTGCTTTGAGGCCTATGGTGGAGAAGGAAATATCATCACATAAAAACTAGAGAGAAGCATTCTGAGAAACTTCTTTGTGATGTGTGCATACATCTCACGGAGTTGAAACTTTCTATTGATTTAGCATTTTTTATACACTTTTTGTAGGATCTGCAGTTGCTATTTGGAGCCCTTTGGGGCCAATGGTGGAAAAGTATTATCTTCTCATAAAAACTAGACAGAAGCATTTTGAGCAAATTCTTTGTGATGTGTTCGTTCATCTCACAGATTTGAACCATTCTTTTGATTCAGCAGTTTTGAAGCACTCTTCCTAGAATCTGCAAGTGCATATTTAGATCGCTTTGAGACGTGTGGTGGAAAAGGAAATATCTTCACATAAACACTAGACAGAAGCATTCTGAGAAACGTCTTTGTGATGTGTCCATTCATCTAACAGAGGTGAAACTTTCTTTTCATTGAGCAGTTTTGAAACACTCTTTTTATAGAATCTGCAAGTGGATATTTGGAGCACTTTGGAGAGAATGGTGGAAATGGAAATATCTTCATATAAAAACTATGGAGAAGCATTCTGAGAAACGGCATTGTTATGTGTGCCTTCAGCTCACAGAGTTCAACCTTTCTTTTGATTGAGCAGTTTTGATTCCCTTTTTTTGTAGAATCTGCAAGTGGATATTTGGAGAGTTTTAGGGCCTATGGTGGAAAAGGAAATATCTTCACATAAAAACTACACAAAAACATTCTGAGAAACTTCTTTCTGATGTGTGCATACAACTCCCAGAGTTGAATCTTTCTTTTGATTGTGCAATTTTGAAACACTTCTTTTGTAGAATCTGCAAGTGGATATTAGGAGGGCTTTGCCGAGTATAGTGGAAAAGGAAATAACTTTGGATAAAAGGTAGACAGAAGCATTCTGAGAAACTTCTTTGTGATGTGTGCATTCAACGTACAGAGTTGAACCTTTCTTTAGATTGGGCAGTTTTGAAACACTATTTTTGTAAAATCTGCAAGTGGATATTTGGTGACGATTGCGGCCTATGATGGAAAAGCAAATATCTTCACATAAAAACTAGACAGAAGCATTCTGAGAAACTTCTTTGTGATGTGTGCATTCATCTCACACAGTTCAACTTTTCTTCTGATTCAGCAGTTTGGAAACAGTATTTTTGTACAATCTGCAAAGGGATACTTCTTAGCCGATTTCGGTCTATGGTGAATTAGGAAATATCTTCACATAAAAACTAGACAGAAGCTTTCTGAGAAACTTCTTTGGGATGTGTGTTTTCATCTCAGAGAGATGAAACTTTCTTTTGATTGAGCAATTTCGAAACTTTCTTTTTGTAGGATCTGCAAATGGATATTTGGAGCGCTTTGAGGCCTGTGGTGAAAAAGGAAATATCTTCACATAACAACCAGACAGAAGCATTCTGGAAACATCTTTGTGATGCGTGCATTCATCTCGCAGAGTTGAACATTTCTTTTGATTGAGCAGTTTGGAAACAGTCTTTGATAGTATCTGCAGTGAGATATTTGTCAGCATTTTGAGGACTTGGTGAGAAAGGAAATATCTTCATATAAAACCTAGTCAGAAGATTCTGAGAAACTTCTTTGTGATGTGTGCATTCAACTGATAGAGGTGAAACTTTGTTTTGATTGAGCAGTTTGTAAACAGTCCTTTTGTAGGATCTGCAAAGGGATAGTTCTGGGCCCATTGAGACCTATGGTGAAAGAAGAAATATCTTCACTTAAAAACTAGACAGAAGCATTCTGAGAAACTTCTTAGTGATGTGTGCTTTCATCTCACAGGTTTGAACCTTTCTTTTGATTGAGCAGTTTGGAAACAGTCTTTTTGTAGAATCTGCAAAGGATACTTCAAGCACTTTGAGGCCTATGGTGAAAAAGGACATATCTTCACATGAAATCTAAACAGAAGCTTTCTGAGAAACTTCCTTTTGATGACTGCATACATCTCACAGAGGTGAAACTTTCTTTTCATTGAGCAGTTTGGAAACAGTCTTTTTGTAAAATCTGCAAAGGAATATTTCTGCGAAGTTAGAGGCCTATGGTGAAAAAGAAATATCTTCAGATAAAATGTAGACAGAAGTATTCTGAGAAAATTTTTTGTGATGTATCTATTCATCTCACGGAGTTGAATTTTTCTTTTGATGGAGCAGTGTGGAAACAGTCTTTTTGTAGTATCTGAAGAGGGATATGTGAGAGAAGTTTAAGGCCTGTGGTGAAAAAGGAAATATCTTCACATAAAAACAAGGTAGAAGCATTCTAAGAAACTTCTTTGTATTGTTTGCATTCATCTCAAAGACTTGAACCTGTCTTTGGACTGAGCAGTTTGGAAACTGTCGTTTTGTAGAATCTGTGAAGGGATATTTCTGAGCCCATTGAGGCCTATGGATGAAATAGGAAATATCTTCACATAAAAACAAGACAGAGGATTTCTGAGAAACTTCTTTGTGATATGTGGTTTCATCTCACAGAGTTGAACCATTCTTTTGGTTGAGCAGTTAGGAAACAGTATTTTTGTGGGATCTGCAAAGGGATATTTCTGTTCCCATTGACGCCTATGGTGAAAAAGGACATATCTTCACATAAAAACTAGACAGAAGCTTTCTGATAAACTTCTTAGTGATGTGTGCTTTCATGTCACAGATTTGAAACTTTCTTTTGATTGATCAGTTTGGAAACAGTCTTTTTGTAGAATCTGCAAATGGATATTTGGAGTGCTTTGAGGCTTATGGTGAAAAAGGAAATACCTTCACATGAAATATAAACAGAAGCTTTCTGAGAAGCTTCTTTTTGATGCATGCATACATCTCACAGAGTTGAAAGTTTCTTTTCATTGAGCAGTTTGGAAACAGTCTTTTTGTACAATCTGGAAAGGGATATTTCTGAGAAGTTGGAGGCCTATATCGAAAAAGAAATATCTTCACATAAAAACTAGACAGAAGTATTCTGAGAAACTTCTTTGAGATGTATCCTTTCATCTCACAGAGTTGAACCTTACTTTTGATGGAGCAGTTTGGAGACAGTCTTTTTGTAGTATCTGCGGAGGGATATCTGAGAGCAGTTTAAGGCCTGTGGTGAAAAAGGAAATATCTTCACATAAAAACTAGGCAGAAGCATTCTGAGAAACTTCTTTGTGATGTATGCATTCAACTCAAAGAGGTGAAACTTTCTTTGGATTGAGCAGTTTGGAAACAGTCCTTTTGTAGAATCTGCAAAAGGGTTGTTTCTCAGCCCATTGAGACCTATGGTGAAATAGGAAATATCTTCTCATAAAAACCAGACAGAAGGTTTCTGAGAAACTTCTTTGAGATATGTGCTTTCATCTCACAGAGCTGAACCTTTCTTTTGGTTCAGAAGTTTGGAAACAGTCTTTGTGTAGAATCTGCAAAGCACTATTTTTGAGCACCTTCTGGACTATGGTGAAACAGAAAATATCTTCACATAAAAACTAGACAGAAGCTTTCTGAGAAACTTCTTTATGATGTGTTCTTTCATCTCACAGAGTTGTAACTTTCCTTTGGTTGAGCAGTTTGGAAACACTCTTTATGGGGAATCTGCAAGTGGATATTTGGAGTCCTTTGTGGCCTATAGTGGAAAACGAAATATCTTCACATAAAAACTAGACAGAATCATTCTGAGAAACTTCTTTGTGATGTGCACGTTCATCACAAAGAGTTGAACATTTCTTTCAATTCAGCAGTTTGGAAACAGTCCTTTTGTAGAATCTGTGAAGGGATATTTCTCAGCCCATTGATGCCTATGGATGAAATAGGAAATATTCTCACATTAAAAACTAGACAGAAATTTCTGAGAAACTTCTTTGTGATATGTGGTTTCATCTCACAGAGTTGAACCGTTCTTTTGGTTGAGAAGATTGGAAACACTCTTTTTGTAGAATCTGCAAGTGGATATTTGGAGCACATTGAGGCCTATGGTGGAAAACGAAATATTTTCACATAAAAATTAGACAGAAGCATTCTGAGAAACTACTTTGTGATGTGTGCATTCAACCCACAGAGTTCAACCTTTCTTTTGATTCAGCAGTTTTGAAACACTCTTTTTGTAAAATCTGACAGTGGATTTTTGGAGCGCTTTGAGGCCTACAGTGGAAAAGGAAATATCTTCACATAAATAGTACACAGAAGTATTCTGAGAAACATTTTGTGATGTGTGCATTCATCTCACAGAGTTGAACCTTTCTTTTTATTGAGCAGTTTGGAAACTGTATTTTTGTAGAATCTGCAAGTGGATATTTGGAGCACTTTGAGGCCCATGGTGGAAAAGGACATATCTTCCCATAAAAACTAGACAGCAGCATTTTGAGAAACTTCTTTGTGATGTGTGGATTCATCTCACAGAGTTGAAGCTTTCTTTTGATTGAGTAGTATTGAAACACTCTTGTGGAATCTCCAATTAGATACTTGGAGCGCTTTGAGGCCTATGGTGGAAAAGGAAATATCTTCACATGAAAACTACACAGAAGCATTCTGAGAAATTGGTTTGTGATGTGTGCATTCAACACACAGAGTTGAACCTTTCTTTTGATTGAGCAGTTTTGAAACACACTTTTTTTAGGATCTGCAAGTGGATATTTGGAGTGCTTTGTGGCCTACTGCGGAAAAGGATATATCTTCACATAAAAACTACGGAGAAGCATTCTGAGAAACTTCTTTGTGATGTGTGCATTCATCTCACAGAGTTCAACCTTTCTTTTGATTGAGCAGTTTTCAACCACTCTTTTTGTAGAGTGTGCAAGTGGATATTTGGAGCACTTTGAGGCTTATGGTGGGAAAGGAAATATCTTCACATAAAAACTACAGCGAAGCATTCTGAGAAACTTCTTTCTTATGCGTGCATTCAACTCACAGAATTGAACCTTTCTTTTGATTGAGCAGTTTTGAAACACTATTTTTGTAAAATCTACAAGTGTATATTGGGTGCAATTTGCATCCAATGGTGGAAAAGCAAATATCTTCACATAAAAACTAGACAGAAGCATTCTGAGAATCTTCTTTGTGATGTGTACATTCACTTCACAGAGTTATAACTTTTTTTATTGAGGACTTTTGAAACACTCTTTTTGTAGAATCTACAAGTGGGTGTTTGGAGCACTTTGTGGCCTATAGTGGAAAAGGATGTATATTCACATAAAAACTAGACAGACAAGCATTCTGAAAAACATCTTTGTGATGTGTGCATTCATCTCAAAGAGTTCAACCTTTCTTTTGATTGAGCACTTTTGAAATACTTTTTGGAGAATCTGTAAGTGGATATTTGGAGGGCTTTGGGTCCTATGGTGGTAAAGGAAACATCTTCACATAAAAACTACACAGAAGCATTCTGAAATACCTCTTTGTGATGCTTGCATTCATCTCACATAGTTGAACCATTCTTTTTATTGAGCAGTTTTGAAACAATCTCCTTGTAGAATGTGAAAGTGGATATTTGGAACGCTTTGAGGAGTATGGTGGAAAATGAAAAATCTTCACATAAAAACTAGACAGAATTACTCTAAGAAACTTCTTTGTGATGTGCACATTCATCTCACAAATTTGAAAATTTCTTTTGATTGAGCAGTTTTGAAACGCTCTTTTTCTAGAATCTGCCAGTGTTTATTTGGAGTGCATTGAGTCCTATGGTGGAGAAGGAAATATCCTCACATAAAAACTAGAGAGAAGCATTCTGAGAAACTTCTTTGTGATGTGTGCATACATCTCACAGAGTTGAAACTTTCTATTGATTTAGCATTTTTTATACACTTTTTGAAGGATCTGCAGTTGTTATTTGGAGCCCTTTGGGGCCAATGGTGGAAAAGTATTATCTTCTCATAAAAACTAGACAGAAGCATTTTGAGAAACTTCTCTGTGATGTGTTCATTCATCTCACAGATTTGAAACATTCTTTTGATTCAGCAGTTTTGAAACACTCTTCGTAGCATCTGCAAGTGCATATTTAGATCGCTTTGAGAAGTGTGGTGGAAAAGGAAATATCTTCACATAAACACTAGACAGAAGCATTCTGAGAAACGTCTTTGTGATGTGTCCATTCATTTCACAGAGTTGAAACTTTCTTTTCATTGAGCAGTTTTGAAACACTCTTTTTATAGAATCTGCAAGTGGATATTTGGAGCGCTTTGGAGAGAATGGTGGAAAAGGAAATATCTTCATATAAAAACTATGGAGAAGCATTCTGAGAAACAGCATTGTTATGTGAGCCTTCAGCTCACGGAGTTGAACCTTTCTTTTGATTGAGCAGTTTTGAATCCCTCTTTTTGTATAATCTGCAAGTGGATATTTGGAGAGCTTTAGGGCCTATGGTGGAAAAGGAAATATCTTCACATAAAAACTACACAAAAGCATTCTGAGAAACTTCTTTCTGATGTGTGCATACAACTCCCAGAGTTGAATCTTTCTTTTGATTGTGCAATTTTGAAACACTTCTTTTGTAGAATCTGCAAGTGGATATTCGGAGGGCTTTGCCGAGTATAGTGGAAAAGGAAATAACTTTGGATAAAAGGTAGACAGAAACATTCTGAGAAACTTCTTTGTGATGTGTGCATTCAACGTACAGAGTTGAACCTTTCTTTAGATCGGGCAGTTTTGAAACACTATTTTTTTAATATCTGCAAGTGGATATTTGGTGACCATTGCAGCCTATGGTGGAAAGGCAAATATCTTCACATAAAAACTAGACAGAAGCATTCTGAGAATCTTCTTTGTGATGTGTGCATTCATCTCACACAGTTCAACTTTTCTTTTGATTCAGCAGTTTGGAAACAGTATTTTTCTACAATCTGCAAAAGGATACTTCTTAGCCGATTTAGGCCTATGGTGAATTAGGAAATATCTTCACATAAAAAATAAACAGAAGCTTTCTGAGAAACTTCTTTGGGATGTGTGTTTTCATCTCACAGAGATGAAACTACCTTTTGATTGAGCAATTTGGAAACTCTCTTTTTGTAGGATCTGCAAATGGATATTTGGAGTGCTTTGAGGCCTGTGGTGAAAAAGGAAATATCTTCACATAACAACCAGACAGAAGCATTCTGGAAACATTTTTGTGATGTGTGCGTTCATCTCACAGAGTTGAACCTTTCTTTTGATTGAGCAGTTTGGAAACAGTCTTTTATAGTATCTGCAGAGAGATATTTGTGAGCATTTTGAGGACTTTGGTGAGAAAGGAAATATCTTCATATAAAACCTAGTCAGAAGATTCTGAGACACTTCTTTGTGATGTGTGCATTCAACTGACAGAGTTGAAACTTTGTTTTGATTGAGCAGTTTGTAAACAGTCCTTTTGTAGGATCTGCAAAGGGATATTTCTGGGCCCATTGAGACCTATGGTGAAAGAAGAAATATCTTCACTTAAAAACTAGACAGAAGCATTCTGAGAAACTTTTTAGTGATGTGTGCTTTCATCTCACAGGTTTGAACTTTCTTTCGATTGAGCAGTTTGGAAACAGTGTTTTTGTAGAATCTGCAAAGGATATTTTGAGCGCTTTGACGCCTATGGTGAGAAAGGACATATCTTCACATGAAATCTAAACAGAAGCTTTCTGAGAAACTTCTTTTTTATGAGTTCATACATCTCACAGAGGTGAAACTTTCTTTTCATTGAGCAGTTTGGAAACAGTCTTTTTGTACAGTCTGCAAAGGAAATTTCTGCGAAGTTGGAGGCCTATGGTGAAAAAGAAATATCTTCAGATAAAATGTAGACAGAAGTATTCTGAGAAAATTTTTTGTGATGTATCTATTCATCTCACAGATTTGAATTTTTCTTTTGATGGAGCAGTCTGGAAACAGTCTTTTTGTAGTATCTGCAGAGGGATGTGTGAAAGCAGTTTAAGGCCTGTGGTGAAAAAGGAAATATCTTCACATAAAAACTAGGTAGAAGCATTCTGAGAAACTTCTTTATGTTCTGTGCATTCATCTCAAAGAGTTGAACCTGTCTTTGGATTGAGCAGTTTGGAAATTGTCGTTTTGTAGAATCTGTGAAAGGATATTTCTGAGCCCATTGAGGCCTATGGATGAAGTAGGAAATATCTTCATATAAAAACTAGACAGAGGATTTCTGAGAAACTTCTTTGTGATATGTGGTTTCATCTCACAGAGTTGAACCATTCTTTTGGTTGAGCAGTTAGGAAACAGTATTTTTGTGGGATCTGCAAAGGGATATTTCTGTTCCCATTGACGCCTATGGTGAAAAAGGACATATTTTCACATAAAAAGTAGACAGAAGCTTTCTGATAAACTTCTTAGTGATGTGTGCTTTCATGTCACAGATATGAAACTTTCTTTTGATTGAGCAGTTTGGAAACAGTCTTTTTGTAGAATCTGCAAATGGATATTTGGAGCGCTTTGAGGCCTATGGTGAAAAAGGAAATACCTTTGCATGAAATATAAACAGAAGCTTTCTGAGAAACTTCTTTTTGATGCATGCATACATCACACAGAGTTGAAAGTTTCTTTTCATTGAGAAGTTTGGATACAGTCTTTTTGTACAATCTGGAATGGGATATTTCTGAGAAGTTGGAGGCCTATATCAAAAAAGAAATATCTTCACATAAAAACTAGACAGAAGTATTCTGAGAAACTTCTTTGTGATGTATCCATTCATCTCACAGAGTTGAACCTTTCCTTTGATGGAGCAGTTTGGAAACAGTCTTTTTGCAGTATCTGCAGAGGGATATGTGAGAGCAGTTTAAGGGCTATGGTGAAAAAGGAAATATCTTCACATAAAAACTAGACAGAAGCATTCTGAGAAACTTGTTTGTGATGCGTGCATTCAACTCAAAGAGGTGAAACTTTCTTTGGATTGAGCAGTTTGGAAATAGTCCTTTTGCAGAATCTGCAAAGGGATATTTCTCAGTCCATTGAGGCCTATGGTGAAATAGGAAATAACTTCTCATAAAAACCAGACAGAACGTTTCTGAGAAACTTCTTTGAGATATGTGCTTTCATCTCACAGAGTTGAACCTTTATTTTGGTTCAGAAGTTTGGAAACAGTCTTTGTGTAGAATCTGCAAAGGGCTATTTTTGAGCACCTTCTGGACTATGGTGAAACATAAAATATCTTCACATAAAAACTAGACAGGAGCTTTCTGTAAGAAACTTCTTTATGATGTGTTCTTTCATCTCACAGAGTTGTAACTTTCCTTTGATTGAGCAGTTTGGAAACACTCTTTATGGGGAATCTGCAAGTGGATATTTGGAGTCCTTTGTGGCCTATAGTGGAAAACGAAATATCTTCACATAAAAACTAGACAGAATCATTCTGAGAAACTTCTTTGTGATGTGCACATTCATCACAAAGAGTTGAACATTTCTTTCGATTCAGCAGTTTGGAAACAGTCCTTTCGTAGAATCTGTGAAGGGATATTTCTCAGCCCATTGACGCCTATGGATGAAATAGGAAACATTCTCACATAAAAACTAGACAGAAAATTTCTGAGAAACTTCCTTATGATATGTGGTTTCATCTCACAGAGTTGAACCATTCTTTTGGTTGAGCAGTTTGGAAACACATTTTTTGTAGAATCTGCAAGTGGATATTTGGAGCACATTGAGGCCTATGGTGGAAAACGGAATATTTTCACATAAAAATTAGACAGAAGCATTCTGAGAAACTACTTTGTGATGTGTGCATTCAACCCACAGAGTTCAACCTTTCTTTTGATTCAGCAGTTTTGAAACACTCTTTTTGTAAAATCTGACAGTGGATTTTTGGAGTGCTTTGAGGCCTACGGTGGAAAAGGAAATATCTTCACATAAATAGTACACAGAAGCATTCTGAGAAACTTCTTTGTGATGTGTGCATTTAACTCAAAGAGTGCAGTCCTTCTTTAGATTGAGCAGTTTTGAAAGACTCCTTTTGCAGAATCTGCAAGTGGATGTTTGGAGCGCTATGTGGCCTTAAGTGGAAAAGGCAATATCTTCACATAAAAACTAGACAACAGCATTCTGAGAAACTTCTTTGTCATGTGTGCATTCATCTCACAGAGTTGAAGCTTTCTTTTGATTGAGCAGTTTTGAAACACTCTTTTTGTAGAATCTCCAATTGGATACTTGGAGTGTTTTGAGGCCTATGGTAGAAAAGTAAATATTTTCACGTGAAAACTACACAGAAGCATTCTGAGAAATTGGTTTGTGATGTGTGCATTCAACACACAGAGTTGAACCTTTCTTTTGATTGAGTAGTTTTGAAACACACTTTTTTTAGGATCTGCAAGTGGATATTTGCAATGCTTTGTGGCCTAATGCGGAAAAGGATATATTTTCACATAAAAACTACGGAGAAGCATTCTGAGAAACTTCTTTGTGATGTGTGCATTCAACTCACAGAGTTGAACCTTTCTTTTGTTTGAGCAGTTTTGAAACACTATTTTTGTAAAATCTGCAAGTGGATACTTGGCGCGCTTTGCGGCCTATGGTGGAAAAGCAAATATCTTCACATAAAAACTAGAGAGAAGCATTCTGACAAAGTTCTTTGTGTTGTGTGTGTTCAACTCACAGATTTGAGTCTTTCTTTTGATTGAGCAGTTTTGAAACACTCTTTTTTTAGAATCTGCAAGTGGATATTTCGAGTGTTTTGCAGCCTCTGTTGGAAAAGGAAATATCTTCACATAAACTAGACAGAAGCAATCTGAGAAACTTCTTTGTGATGTGTGCATTCATCTCACAGAGTTGAAACTTTCTTTTGATTGTGAAGTTTTCAAATACTCTTTTTGTAGAATCTGCAAGTGGATATTTGGAGGCCTTTGTGACCTACAGGGGAAAAAGAAATATCTTCACATAAAAACTAGACAGA
>NC_000014.9:16022637-16053976 GCF_000001405.40 Homo sapiens
TCTGTATGTCCTTGTATGTGTGTCCCGTGTGTGTGTCTGTGTGTGTGTCCATGTGTGCTGTGTGCATGCACCCGTGTGTATCTGTGTGTGTGTCGTGGTGGGTTTGCTCGTGGTAGTGGTGGGGTGTGTCTGCGTGTCCGTCAGCTCCTGTTTCCCGGGATCAGGCTGCCGAGGCTCTAGTGCCGGCGCGGGGCAAAGCAGGGACTTCCTGTCCCGTTGGCCACGGGCGGGTCCTCGTTGGGACAAGCGACGATGGTGTGGGTATTGTGAGAAAAAGGGCCTGCGGGGCTGGGCCGGCTGTTTGCCCCTGGGCAGCCCTGACTGCTCTGGGTGTGTGGGCCAAGAGGGGGCCTTGCAGGAGGGGTGGCGAAGGATCCAAAACAATTTTTCCGTGGCAAGGCGGAGGACCAGAGGGGATCCCAGGACTGTGGGCCCCGGGCCCTGACTCCTCCAAGCACACCCTGTCTTGAGCCGGCCCGATGTGTTGGAAAATCGGGAGCTCGCGAGCCGGGGGGAAGGCCTGGAGTGTCAGCAAAAGGGAGGCTGCCTGGTGGGCCTATAGCCTGGGCAAGGGACTGAGGCATCACGGCCTGATGACGGATTCCTGTTTCCTGCAACATGGGGAGTCTCGAAAATGGCCTGTTTGGAAACGAAAGGAGAGCGAAGACACGATGCTGCTTTTCCACCCTTCGCTGGGGGTTTCTGTGTCCCCACAGAGCTCGGGAAACAAACAGTCAACATGGTCACGCTTTCGGGGGCCAGAGACACGTGAGCAGCAGGCCCACTTGCAGAGGGCAAAGGAACGTGGAATCCGGAATCATGGTTCACTCGGCTTGAGTGTGACTCCTGTGTGGATGGGAGTATCTGCCTCGCGCTCTGTTGCAGGCTCAGCGTGGGGATATGTCATCTGTGAACCATGTGGATGAAAAACGGACAACCATTCGAGTCTCGTCTCTGATCTTTGGGAAATTCGCTCATTCCTTGGGAGGTGGAATTCCTCTGAATCGCTCCCGAATGAAGTAACCCAGGCTGGTGAACCAGAGGGCCGGTGAGCACACCGCCGGCCGAGGCGGCTGTGGGCTGAGCACTCAGCCTGCACTGGGCACCCAACATTTTCCCGGAGTTCGAGGTCCTGCTGGGCCTGGAGGCAGAAGACCTCTTTTCTCTTTGCCTTCCCTTCTCTGTTTCTTGCTCCTTTTCTCCCTCTGTCCATCCTTCCCTCTGTTCTTCCTTCTCTCCCTCTCTCCCTCCCTGTCTCCCTCCCTCCCTCTGTTCTCTCCTTCCCTCTCTCCCACCATCCATACCTCCCTTTCTCCCTCCTTCCCTCCCTCCCTTCCTTTTTCTTTCCCTCCCTCCCTCCCTCCATCCCTTCCAAGGTCCGTCCTTTCATCCGTCCTTTCCTCCCTCTGTCCCTCTCTCTCACTTTGTCTCCGTTCCTTTCCCCATCTCTGCCTGGCTTCCCTCCCGCCTAGAAAGGGCAGAACCACGGTTTGCACGAGATCTCGGGGTCTACATTTAGTTCCCGGGCGCTTCACGTGATGCCAAGGAGGATGGCGGGGCACGGGTGGGCGAAGGAGGGTGGAGCGGGGAGGTAGTGGAGTTGAGCTGCGAAAAGGAGAGCAGGCCTGGCCGCTGCCCGGATCGGTATTTCCCGGGGTGGAGGTCTCCACCTACACCACTGAAGAACGCGGGGGAGGGGGGGATGTACTGTGTGGGGGAGTGGGGGAAGGGATGAGAGCCCTGCCTGGGCTGGTCCCAAACCCTAGCCGGCTGCCCGCGGACCTGCGCATGCGCAGTAGACGGCCCATCTCTGAGTACCTGGGCTGGCTCTGAAATCCTTGGGATGCTCAGGAAAGAATGACAGCCCTCCTTTCTGTGGAGTCTCTCGCTGGACTTGGACTCAGGGATCCTAGACAGGTCAGCTGGAAGGGAAGACACAGGTCTCCATACTGAACCAGAGGTTCACCGCGAAAGAGGAGCCACTGACCTGCCCCCACCCGGTCCCAACCCCGCGTCCTAAAGCTCCTCCAGCTGAGCCCAGTGTTCTTCCTGGCTGAGGAGTGGTTCCAGAAAAGCAGGCTCTTCCAAGTCCTTCAAATCCCTCAGCGGCTCCGTTGCTAGGAAAGGTTGTGTCCTTTGCTGAAATTGTGTCCTTTGCTGAAAAATGGGGTAGACAGGAGCTCATATAACAGGGTGGATGCGAGTACAGATGAAGACTCCAGCTCCTGGAGCGGTTGGGAGGGTGCCTGGATTGCTTACATCTTCTTCTGACACGCCGAGACCTCCATGGGCGCGAGCTGCGTAGATGTGCCTCGGCTTCGCGTTCCCACGAGCCCTGGCGACCAGTGGACCCTGGCCCCAGCCCCAATATGGACTCATGTGGGACGTGTGCGGCGCAAGCACACCTTGCCCCTGTGACTCAGCCTGAGCGGCCCAAGCTGTCCCATTGAGCACGCACCGAGAAAGCCACCGTACTACGGGTCCTGGTCCTGCTGCCATCTGTTCGGATGCTGAGGTCACCCAGGTGTCTGAGGGTGGGACAGCTCCACTTCCGAAGGAGCCAGGGCCGCAAATCCAAAATCCCTGTGTGCCGTGATAGGTTGGGAGATTCCTTCTGCCTGCGAAGCCTGGCTGGGCTGCAGCAGAGGGGCGACCCTTGCTGTCTGGCTCACGAAAGCCCCCTGTTCCCCACGCCCTGGCGTGGGTGAAGGCGACCAAGGAGGGAGGGTGGCACCCGCTGTAGGCCGCGTTGCACAGGCCGCCTGCGTGCGCGGGTTCCCTGCTACCCTGGCCTGGATGCCTGGACCTTCGATTCTGACACGAAATCTGAATCCTGGACTCCAATAGGCAGGTCTCTCTGGCCAGTTTGGGTACAGGTTCCGCTCAAAGCATGCTGGCAGGGCATCTTTTTCGTTCAGGTTACAAACCAGTCTCCTTTGCCGTCCTCGTCCTCGGGCTTTCGCGGGGAAGGGGCTGTTAGAAGGTGTCGGGAGAGCCATCGCGAGGGCACCTGGCTGGAATTTCACGGACAGACACAGACAGATAGAGGCCGGCGGCTCCCGTGGGCCTCAGTTGGCCTCTGTGCTGCACGCAGGTCCAGGCAGGAGTCCGACCCCGCCAGTGGCCCTTATAAAGACCCACCAGCTTCACCCCTTCATGAATATGCATGAACACCCAAGGGCCCTGGGTAACCCGCCCTCCGAAGGGCCCAGAAACCACAGACACAGGGCCTTGTGTGGTAGGTGAAGGTGGGGCCAGATCGGATGGGAAAGGGGGGCTTCTGGGACTGGCTTTCTGAGTTCTCCAGAATTCTACAGAAACTGGAAGTTTCTCTCTGGGTTCACACACGATTTCAGGGAGAAACCACCCTGGAAGGGTAGAGTGTGGAACTGAACCTCCATGATAGTCTTGAGTTTTCCAGTCCCTCTCCCTGAAGCCGGCAATGCCTGTGGGTGTCTCCATTGCCGTGATAGTCACACACGCAGGTGTGTGGATCTCATTGATTTTTTTATTTTCATTTTTTATTTCTACCTCTTAAAGTCAATGATAAAGTCATGAGTGTAAAATGAATGCATTTAAAAACATAAAAGATACGTTTCAATGACAAGAAATCTGCAATGATCATGAAAATCTACTGTACACTTTGCCAAGGTCAAAGAATGAAAGACAATATGGAAAAGCCAATCTTCAAATATATCCTTAACAAAAACTCTCTCCTACATAGTAAAAGCATCATCTAAACAGCAGCTCCAACCGAGAAAAAAAAAAACAAAAAAACAAAAAACAAAAAACAAAAACAGCAGGGTAGATGGGACAGATAACTTTCCCCAGGTTTTCCAGATAAAAACATGTGGTCACCAGGAATTCAAGGTAACTTAAAAAGCCACGTTTAATTCAAAATAAAATGAACACTTCTGACAGATGACAGCAGTATGATACTGACTTTTTTCTTTCCTAGATACAAATGATATGGGGCATTTCTTAACAGTTTAGTAATCGTCTAAGAATAACTGTAGAAATAACCCCAATTCCACCATCCCAGCCACTGGTATAAAACAAATAACCTTCCATTGACACTGTCTTTCACATAACTACAATATCCTCACTTACTTGGAACAATTTCATGCTTACACATGATCACAAACACTTGTTTTTAGATGTTGTGGAATTATTGGAGCTGAGATTTTTTAAACAATATCTGAATCTTAGCAGAGAGCAAATAATCCTTTCACTATACATTGATTGGGCTTCCTTAACCAAATCTGAGCAACTGCTATAATAATAATGCTGGTGGTAATCCATGATACTCTCAAATTTTTCCCTTTAAGAAATATATAATCCATGTAACTCTAGCAAATATGTTACACTGCACACTTTCTTAACAAGGAATGGCTGTTTTCAGGCCTTATTAGGAAAACAAAGAAACAAACAATGGCAGTTACTATCTGTTTTTTATCACTGATAAGTTACAATAAACTCAAATATGACAGTTTAATTGTGTGATATTAAGTGAAAAATGAAAACCATTATAGTTTTACCAAAAGAAACATAAAAAGTATGGGAAGAAGTCAAATGAGCATGGCATAAGTCCCAAAGATTACACTAGGATTCTGAACAGGATTTTCCAAACAAAGAGTATCTACATACAATTTCTGTGAATATTTCTTGTAGTAGAAAGTTCCAAAACAAATGTAGGCTCAGCCCTACCTTGTCAAAGATAAATATTCAGATAAATTAGAAGTTCCATCTGCTAAAGTGCATCCGCTGACCAGGTCTACCATGGCGCTGCTACTTACAGCCCTCTAAGAAAGTGGCCTCACTCATGCTCATTCACTCGTTCTGTGGCCTATCAAGTGTCACACATAACAATGGTTTTGCTTTTTTAAAAAAAACAAATACTTTATACAGTGAACTACAGAAAAAACAATTCTAAATATACTTTTAAAATTCTAGAGAGTTAAGGTAACCTCATTTTTTAAAATACTGAAAATGTAAAGTGTCCATATAAAGAGTTGTATTAAGTACATACTTCCTATTTTAATAATTCACTTGCTGTGCTCTTAAAATCTCTCTGAGAGAAGCAGATATTTTACTCGTGTATTTGGCAAGAGATTCAAAAGCAAAAGTAGCAGGGCTGTAAAATTCCATAAAATTTGTGGGATTTTTAAAAGCTAAATTATTCAATATTTTGTATTGTTATTGCACTCATATATTGCCCAGAATATATATACAGCAACCCAGCAACAGTGATTGCAACAAAAGTAAGGTAAATAGGTCTACAAAGCATTTGATTTCCTTATTAGATAAGTGAAGTTTTCATAGAGGAAGTGCAAATTCAGATCAGGTTACATAAGCTTAACAATTATTCAAACCTTATATAAAATTAAATCTAACCCTCCCCACTACAAATCTGTAAGGAATCACTGTCAGGAATCTACAGGACTTGGCTCGTATTTACATTTGATGCACACTTAGAAATTTCATAAATGATGAGATGCAGGCCAAGGGGATTCCTCAAAGGGCTCCACCCAAAAGGAAAAGAAAGAGAGTTAAACAGAGAATTACCACTTACGTATTTGTGGGTAATCAGCTTATTCCTCAGCCTCTAGACAGTGAGGAGGATGAAAAATGGAAGAAAATAATAAAGAAGAGGAAGAAAAAGATCACAGTGAAGCGATGAAGCCAGAGAAGCCACCTCAAAATTTACTGAGAGAAAAAAATCATGAAGCTGCTCTTCCCTGAATCTTTAAAAGCTTACTTGACATATTTTAGAGACAAATAACTTAGATCAAGAAGAAAGAATGCCTACTGATAATTCCTTTAGTCTTGAAAATGTAGCATTTATTAGGAATTAAAAGAATTATTTATTTCATCAGAGCAAATTATAGTGGAAAAAATATCACTTGTTACTGTCAGTAACATAAACGATGTATTGAGTGAATAAAAGAATCCCTTTTATAAAATCTATTTTTCTTTAAATCTTGGAAAATTGTTGTTTCACCTCAGAGTGATTTCAAAGTGGAATGTGACAGTTGTCAAGACTTGTGTGCTATAAATCCTTTTCTGATTCCTTACGGATCTCATTCATTTTCATGTAGAAAACGAGAGCGAAACTACAGAGAAAAGAAAGGCCCGGTGCATTACGGCCTGAAGAGGGATTCCTGTTTCCTGCAACATGGGGAGTCTCCACTATGGCCTGTTTCCAAACAGGGAACTGGAAAGGAGAGCGAAGACACGATGCTGCTTTTCCGCGGTTCTCTGGAGGTTTCTGTGTCCCCAGAGAGCTCGGGAAACAAATAGTCAACATGGTCACGCTTTCGGGGGCCAGAGATGCATGAGCAACAGGTCCCCTTGCAGAAGGCAAAGGAACGTGGAACCCGAAACCACGCTTCAGTCAGCCTGAGTGTGACTCCTGTGTGGACGAGACTATCCACCTAGCGCTCCGTTGCAGGCTCAACGTGGGGCTATCTCATCTGTGAACCATGTGGATGAAAAATGGACAATCACCCGAGTCTCGGCTCATTGCTCTCTGGGCAATTCCCTCATTCCTTGGGAGACGAAATTCGGCTGAATCGCTCTCGGATGAAGTAACCCAGGCTGGCGATCCAGAGGGCCGGTGAGAGCCCCGCAGGCCGACGCGGCTGTGGGCGGAGCACTTAGCCTGCACTGGGCACCCAGCATTTTCCCGGAGTGCAAGATCCTGGTGGTCCTGGAGTCAGAAGACTGCTTTTCTCTCTGCCTTCCTCTCTCTGTTTCTTGCTCCCTCCCTCCCTCTTTCCCTCTGTCCCTCCCGCAGTTCCTCCCCCCCTCCTTCGCTCCCTCCCTCCCTCCTTCCCTCTCTCCTTCCTTCTATCCCTCCATCCTTTCCAAGGTCCCTCGGTCCATCCGTTCTTTCCTCCCTCCATCGTTCCCTCCCTCTCTGTCTCCGTTCCTCTCCCCATCTCTGCCTGAGTTCCCTCCCGCGTAGAAAGGGCAGCACCCCGGTTTGCCCGGGGTCTCGGGTCTGCATTTAGCTGTCAGGCGCTCCACGGTGATGCCGAGGAAGCTGGCGGGGCAAGGGTAGGCCAGTGACGGTGTGGCGGGGAGGCAGAGTTGGCGAGACGCGGAAAGAAGAGCAGTCCTGGCGCCTGCCCGGGCCAGTGTTTCCCGGGATGGAGTTCTCCGCCCTCCCCACTGAAGAACGCGGTGGGGGGCAAGAGGGAAGTGATGAGAGCTCCACCTAGGCTAGTTAGAAAACCTAGGCTACTGCCTGCTAATCCGCGCATGAGCAGTAGACAGTCTGCCTCCCGGTACCTGGAGGGGCCCTGGGATCCCCGGGATGCTCAGAAAAGAATGACAGCCCTCCTCTGAGTGGAGTCTCTCACGCGACCTGGAACTCAGGGATCCTAGGCAGGTCAGCTGGAAGGGAAGACACGCCTCTCCATACCGAGTCAGAGGTTCACCGCGAAAGAGAGGCCGCCGCCCTGCCCCTACCCCGCCCCAACCCCGCGTCCTAAAGCTCCTCCAGCACAGCCCGCTGTTCTTCCTAGCTGAGGAGTGCTTCCAGCGGAGCGGGCTCTTCCACGTCCTTCAGCTCCCCCAGTGGCGCCGGATCTAGGAAAGGTTGTGCCTTTTGCTGGAACTCTGGGGTTTACAGGAGCTCATCTAACTGGCTGGGGGTGAGTGTAGACGAGCGCCCCGGCTCCTGGAGCGGTTGGGAGGTGCCTGGATGGCTTGCATATGTGCTTGACGCGGAGGTCTCTGGGGTCGCCAGCTTCGAAAGTGGAGGTGCCCCGTCTTCGGTTTCCCACGCCGCCATGGCGACCTGGGGCTCCAGCCCCACCGCGGACTCTGGTGGGACGTGGGTGGCGCAAACATACTTTGCCCCTGTGACTCAGCTTGAGGGTACCCAAGCTGTCCCACTGAGCATGCACCCAGCAGGCCGCCGTGCTGCGGGTCCTGGTCCTCCTGGCATTTTTGGGGGTGCGGAGGCCACCGAGGAGTCTGAGGGTGGGACAGTCCTACTTCTAGAGGAGCCAGGGCAGCAAACACAAAATCCCAGCGTGCCGGGGCAGGTTGAGAGATTCCTTCTGCCTGCGCAGCCTGGCTAGGCTGGAGCGGTGGGACGGCCCTTGCTCCCTGGCTCACGAAAGCCCCCTGTGGGAGAGCCCCAGGCGTGCAGGGCCTGTGGGGTGCGGCAAGCCCAGTTCCCCATGCCCTGGTGTGGGTGAACTCGATTGAGGAGGGAGGAGGATGACACCTGCCGGGGGTGTTAATTAGTAACCAGAGTGGCCTCAAAGAGCTCAAATGAAAGGAAGAATTTCACGTCTCTCACTTGAAGTCCAGAGCTAGAAATGATAAGCTTAGTGAAGATGTAAAATTTTCATGGCTAGAGAGATGTCCACACTTGGCTTCAAAACTTCAAAGGATGGGCTGACTCTCTTTGAGGACCACTGCAGTTGGTGACTTTAAGTTACAGCCAGTGCTCACTGACCACTCTGAAAATCTCAGAGCCCTTAAGAATTATGCAAAATCTATTCATTCTGTGCTCTAGAAATGGAACATTACAGTCCAAGTGACAACACATCTGTTAACAGCATGGTTTACTGAATATTTTAATCCCACTATTGAGACCTACTGCTCAGAAAAAACAACAACAACAAAAAAAAATTCCTTTAAAGGGATTGCTGCTTGGCCAGGCACAATGGCTCACACCTGTAATCCCTGCACTTTGGGAGGCCGAGGTGGGTGGATCACCTGAGGTGAGGAGTTCAAGACCAGCCTGGTGAAAATGATGAAACCCTGTCTCTAATAAAAATACAAAAAAATTAACCAGGCATAGTGGTGGTATCTGTAATTTCAGCTACTTGGGAGGCTGATGCAGAAGAACGGCTTGAACCCTGGAAGTGGAGGTTGTGGTGAGCCGAGACAATGCTACTGCCCTCCAGCCTGGGCAACAAGAAGGAAACTACATAAAGGCCAAAAAAAAAAAAAAAGAAAGAAAAGAAAAAAAAGAAAAATATTGCTGCTTATTGACAATTCACCTAGCTACCCAAAAGCTTAGATGGAGATGTACTTGGAAATTAATATTATTTTCATGGCTGCTAATACAATATCTATCCTTCAGCCTGTGGATCAAGCAGTGGTTTTGACTTTCAAGTGTTTTTATTAAATAATAAATGCATTTTGTAAAGGTATATCTGTCATAGATAGTAATTTCTTTGATGAATCTGGATAAACTGAATTGAAAACCTTTTGGAAAGGTTTCACCATTAATCCTTTCATGATATTTCAACCTCTTCGTGTGAATCATAAATGTCCTTAATAGCAAATGCCATTAAGGACATTTGTGATTGATGGGAGGAGGTTGAAATATCAACATTAACAGGAGTTTGGAAGAAGTTGATTCCAGCCCTCATGGAAGACTTTGAAGGCTCAGGATGTCAGTGGAGGAAGTCCCTACAGATGTGGTAGAAATAGCAAGACAACCAGAATTAGAATTAGGGCCTTTAGATGAGATTAAATTGCTGTAAACTCATTATGAGACTTGAGCATCTGGGGAGTTGCTTCTTATGGATGAGCAAAGAAAATATTTTCTTGAGATGGAATCTACTCCAGGTGGAGACGCTACGAACATTGTTGAAATAACAACAAAGGATTTAGAATATTCCATAAACCTAGTTGATAAAGCAGCAGCAGGGTTTGAGAGGGTTTACTCCAATTTTTAAAGAAGTTCTACTGTGGATAAAATGCTATCAAACAGCATCACATGCTACAGGGTAAATCTTTTGTGAAAGGAACAAAATTCATTGTTTTAAGAAATTTACAAAAGCACCCAACCTTCAGCAGCCCCCACACTGACCAGTCAGCAGCCATCAACATAGAGGCAAGACCCTCACTGTAAGAGAAAAGAAAGAGAGATCAGACTGTTACTGTGTCTATATAGAAAGGAAAGACGTAAGAGACTCCATTTTGAAAAAGACTTGTACTTTAAACAATTGCTTTGCTGAGAAGTTAATTTGTAGCTTTGCCCCAGCCACTTTGTGACTCAACCTGGAGCTCACAAAAACATGTGTTGTATGAAATCAAGGTTTAAGGGATCTAGGGCTGTGCAGGATGTGCCTTGTTAACAAAATATTTACAAGCAGTATACTTGGTAAAAGTCATCGCCATTCTCTAGTCTCAATAAACGAGGGGCACAATGCACTGCAGAAAGCCGCAGGGACCTCTGCTCTTGAAAGCGGGATGTTGTCCAAGGTTACTCCCCATGTGATAGTCTGAAATATGGCCTCATGGGATGAGAAAGACCTGACTGTCCCCCAGCCCGACACCCGTTAAGGGTCTGTGCTGAGGTGGATTAGTAAAAGAGGAAAGCTTCTTGCAGTTGAGATAGAGGAAGGCCACTGTCTCCTGGCTGGCCCCTGGGACTGAATGTCTCAGTATAAAACCTGATTGTACATTTGTTCAATTCTGAGATAGGAGAAAAACCGCCCTATGGTGGGAGGCGAGACATGTTTGCAGTAATGCTGCTTTGTTATTCTTTACTCCACTGAGATGTTTGGGTGGAGAGAAACATAAATCTGGCTTACGTGCACGTCCACTCATAGTACCTTCCCTAGAACTTAATTGTGACATAGATTTTTTTGCTCACATGTTTTTTGCTGACCTTCTCCTTATTATCACCCTGCTCTCCTACTACATTCCTTTTTGCTGAAATAATGAAAATAATAAGCAATAAAAACTGAGGGAACTCAGAGGCTGGTGCCTGTGCAGGTCCTTGGTATGCTGAGCGCCGGTCCCCTGGGCCTACTGTTGTTTCTCTATACTATGTCTCTGTGTCTTACTTCTTTTCTCAGTCTCTTGTCCCACCTGACTAGAAATACCTACAAGTCTGGAGGGGTGGGCCACCCCTTCACTCACCAGCAAAAAGTTTATGACTTGGTAAGGCTCAGATATTCATTAGTATTTTTCAGCAATGAGGTATTTTAAGTTAATGTATGTACATAGTTTTGTAGACATAATGCGATTACTAATTAATTAATTAATAATTATTAAATACTCATTAGACTACAACATAGTTTAAGCATAACTTTTATAAGCACTGGGAAACAAAGTGTTTATGCGATTAACTTGTTTGTAACATTTACCTTATTGTGGTTGTCTGGAACCAAACCCACTATCTCTGAGAATGCTTGTAGGTTTTTGGTTGTTCTTTGTTTTGAGATAGGGTTTCACCTGTCACCCAGTCCAGAGTGCAGTGGCATGATTATAGCTCACTGCAGCCTCAAACTGCTGGGTCAAGTGATTGTTCTACCACAGCCTCCTTAGTAGCTGGGACTACAGGCATGCAGCACTATGCCTGGCTTTTCTTTTTTTTTTTTTTTTTTTTTTGAGACGGAGTCTCGCTCTTTTGCCCAGGCCAGAGTGCAGTGGTGCTATCTCGGCTCACTGCAGCTCCACCTCCCTGGTTCATGCCATTCTCCTGCTTCAGCCTCCTGAGTAGCTGAGACTACAGGCGCCCAAACCAGGCCCAGCTAATTTTTTTGTATTTTTAGTAGAGACGGGGTTTCACCGTGTTAGCCAGGATGGTCTCGATCTCCTGACCTCGTGATCTGCCCGCCTCGGCCTCCTACAGTGCTGGGATGACAGGCGTGAGCCACCTCGCCCGGCCTGCCTTTTCTTTCTAGTGGCACAAGCCCCGTGGAGTGTGGTGTGTCTGATCTCCAATGCTTTTGAACAGTGTAGACAGTATTCCTGTCTGAATTTAATTTTTTACTACACGTATGGTCTCGATCGACCACAAGAAGATCAATAAGCCCTTCTCCTTATTCTACTTCCCTTTCTAGCAATGGAGAACTTTGATTGGATTTTTCCTGCCTACAGACAGGAATGAGTCTGCTGTTTTCTTTTTTAAACCCGAGGGGACTGAGCCTGAGGGCCTCGAGCGCGGCCACCCTCCCCCAACCCCCAACTGGTGATTGTGGTGGTGGTGGTTTTGTGTTCCAGCTTCTGTTTTGTTGTTGTTGTTGCTGCTGGTGGTGCTGTCGTCATTGTTTTGGTATCTTACAGACTCAGGGGGTGTACGTGCTTGTTTGTTAGATCGGCCTACTGCTGCCTCTGGTTGTAGAAGTGGATCTCCAGTGTATCCGATACCCACGTGGCGAACATTGTCTCTGACAGGTGATTTATTCATCCCTTGTCCCCCTCTTACCCTCCTCCTCCTTTTTGGAGTGTCTTCTATTTCCATCTTGATGACCGTGTGCGTACCCACTGTTTACCTCCCACTTGTAAGCAGAAAGCAGTTCACTGGGTACATACTTGCTTCCAGCTCTATCCATATTGTGGGAAAAGACGTGAAATCGCTCTTTTTTGTGCCTGAACCATTAGAGAATTTTAACTTTCTTGGTGGTTGTTTTCCTTTTTTCTTTTCTTTTCTTTTTTTTTTTTCTTTTCTTTCTTTTCTTTTCTTTCTTCCTCCTCCTCCTTCTTTTTTTCATTGTTTTCAGCTGGGCTCTCCTACTTGTGTTGCTCAGTTGCTCGGGCTTGTCTCAAACTCCTGGCCTTGACACTTCTCCCGTCACATCCACGGTCTAGTTGTTGAAATGAGCATCTCTTGTAAAATTGAAAAGATGAAAAAAATAAAGAGAAAGACAAAAAGCACGGGGTGAACGTTTCTCTTGCCGCCTCCCAGGGTGTACCTTGGACCCCATAGGAGGGAGGGAGCTTGGCTGGGTGGGTTTTCGGTGCTAAATCCTCCTGAGGGCCTCCTTCCCTCTCCCCCTTGTCCCCGCTTCTCCCCCAGCCAAGGCTCCCACCGCCGCGATGGGATTTTCCATGGGAGAGGTATGGGAGAGGACTGACGCGGCTTCCAGATCTATATCCTGCCAGACGTCTCTGGCTCAGCGTCCCCCACCAGCTGCCTGCCACCTTCCAGGGAGCTCTGAGGCCGATGCCCCGCCCCGCTTCACATCCCGCCACCCTCCTCCAGCTGGCCTTTGCCCGGCGACCCCAAGGGAACGACGTTAATGCTGCTTTCGAATCCTCCAGCGAAGACTTCCACCAGATGCCCCGGGTGGGCCGGATGGGATGGACTGGATCACCCCGGACCATGCTGTTCTTGGGGGTGGGTTGACGTACAGGGTGGACTGGCAGCCCCAGCATTGTAAAGGGTGCGCAGGTATGGAAATGTCACATAGGATGCCCTCCTTTCCCTCAGCCTGCCTTCAGCTTCCTCAGGCATGAAGACAACTTCCCATCAGAACCTCTTTTCTTCCCTTTCTCCACCACACAGATGAGACCCATGAGAGGGAGAAACAGCTCAATAGATACTGCTGACCTTCATTTGTGGAATCCTCAGTCATCTACAGACAGAGAGGTGAGTAGACAGGGACCCAAATCAAACACCATTTCCGGGTCCTCATGGTGGGATTCGTCTCTCTCTCTCTCTCACACACACACACACACACACACACACACAATTTCCACATCTAGTTCACAAACCACACTAATTTACACTTTTCACAGTACGCAGTCTGAGTAAAACCCACCCCACCCTCCACCCAGCTGCTGACGAAACCCCTTCTTTACAATTTATTAAAAAGATTATCTGGGCCGGGCACAGTGGCTCACGGCTGTCATTCCAGCACTTTGGGAGGCAAGGGTGGGTGGATCACTTGAGGCCAGGAGTTCAAGACCTGACTGGCCAACATGGTGAAACCCCATCTCTATGAAAAATAGAACAATTAGCCAGGAACTGGTGGCATAGGTTTGTAATCACAACTACTCATAAGACAGAGGCGGGCGAGTTGCTTGAACCAGGGAGGCCGAGGTTGCAGTGAGCTGAGATCGTGCCATGGCAATTATTGAGATAAAGTGAGACTCTGTCTCAATAATAATCATAATATTGTTATAAGATGTGTTGTGCGTGCTGATACCCACCTGTAGTCGCAGCTACTCAGGAGGCTGAGACAAGGAGAAGATCACTTGAGGCCCCACAGGTCGAGGTTTCAGTCAGCTGTATCCTGGGTAGTCACTAGTCAAAGAGATATGCCCCTCCCCGTTTTCTTTTCTTTTCTTTTCTTCTTTTCTCTCTTCTTTTTTCTTCTCTCTTCTTCCTTCCTTTCTTTCTTCTTTCTTTCTCTCACTCTCTTTCTTTCTTTCTCTCTTTCTTTCTTTCTCTTCTTTCTTTCTTTCCCTTTCTTTCTTTCTTTCTTTATTTTTTTCTTTCTTTCCTGCCTGACTGACTTCCTGCCTTTCTTATTTTCTCCCTTCCTCTCTTCCTCCCTTCCTTCTTTCCTCCCGCCTCGGCCTCCCAAAGTGCTGGGATTACTGGCGTGAGGCACCACGCCTGCTTGGCCTAAAGAGAGACCCTTTGAAAGTAAGACACATACAGCGCCTTCTAGTGATCTGATTGATTGATTGACTGATTTAGAGACAGCGTCTCGCTCTGTCACCCTGGCAGTGGTGCCATCATAACTCACTCACTGCAGTGTGGAAGCTCCTGGACTCAAGTGATCCTTCCACCTCAGCCTCCAGAGTAGAGTACCTGGGACCACAGGCATGCGCCACTGTGCCCAGATCATTTTTATGTATTTATTTATTTATTTTCCCGAGACAGAGTTTCGTTCTTGTTGCCCAGACTGGAGTGCAATGGCGCGATCTTGGCCCACTGCAGCCTCTGCCTCCTGGGTTCAAGCGATTCTCCTGCGTCAGCCTCCCGAGTAGCTGGGTTTGCAGGCATGCGCCACCACATCTGGCTGATTTTGTATTGTTAGTAGAGACGGGGCTTCTCCATGTTGGTCAGGCTGGTCTCGAACTCCCGACCTCAGGTGATCTGCTCTCCTCGGCCTCCCAAAGTGCCAGGATGGCAGACGTGAGCCACTGCTCCTGGCCTTCATTTTTAAATGTTTTTCCACAGACAGGGTCTCATCATTTTGTTGCAACCCTCCTGACCCGGCGTCTCAAAGTGCTGGCGTGAAGGGCGTGAGCCACTGCGCCTGGACTCCGGGGAATGATTCACGAACATGACCGCTGTACTAATTCTTTCTTTCTTCTTTCTTTCTTTCTTTCTTTCTTTCTTTCATTGATGAATTTTTTTATTATTGATTGATTGATTGATTGATTGATTTTGAGACGGAGTCTCGCTCTGGTCGAGGCGAGGCGAGGGGAGGCGAGGCGAGGTGAGGCGAGGCGAGGTGAGGCTAGGCGAGGTGCATCACTTTGGAAGCCGCAGCACGGCCTTCTAAAGCCCCATTCAAATGCACAAAGCCCTATTTCCTTCCTGGAGTTGGAGCTGATGCTTTCCATCGCCTTGGGCTTCTCTCCATTCAGAAGTTTTACAGGCGCAACCCCACCCAGAGGCTGGCTGCGGCTGAGGATTAGGGGGTGTGGGTGGGGCTGGAAACTCGGTCCCCTATTGTTGAAAGCTCAGCCAAGACATCCCCCGACCCCCATCGCTTGCTCACCCTTTGAGATCCCCTGACTCCATCGCCTTGGAGGCTGACCTCTTACTTTAATTTGTCTTTCTTCCTTTCCTGCGTTTGAGGAGGGGATGCAGGAATGAGGGTGTGTGCGGGGAGGTGGTGTGGGGTGGGGACGGAGGGGAGCGTCCTAAGGGTCGATTTAGTGTCATGCCTCTTTCACCGCCACCGCCGAAGATGAAAGCAACAATCAGCTAAATACCACGTGTTCTCATCCATAAGTGGGAACTTATAGATGAGAGTTCTGCGTGGGCAGAACGAGGAGGACCAGAGAAGCGGGAGCCTACTTGAGGGAGGAGGGGTGGAAGGAAAGACAGCTTCAGGAAAAAACAAAACACAACAAAACATGAAAACTGTCGAGTACTGCGCTGAGTATCCGGCTGATGAAATCATCTGCACACTGAAACCCCCCCGTCAGAAGTTTACCTATGTAACAATCTTGCACATGTATGTTTGAACAAGAAATGAAAGTTAGGGGAGAAAGAGAGAGAGAGGGAAAGAGAGAGAGAGAGGGAAAGAGAGAGAGAGAGGGAAAGAGAGAGAGAGAGAGAGAAGTGAAAGGAAACAGCACCTCCTGGACCTGAGTCAGGGGGTTTCCGGCCTTTTGGGGGAACATTCAGCTACAATGCAGTATTTGGGCCTGTTCTTTTTTTTTTTTTTCTTCTTTTCTTTTTTTTGGACTGAGTCTCTCTCGCTCTGTCACCCAGGCTGCGGTGAAGTGGCGCTCTCTCGGCTCACTGAAACCTCTGCTTCCCGGGTTCCAGTGATTCTTCTTCGGTAGCTGGGATTACAGGCGTGCACAACGACAGCTGGCTAATTTTTCTATTTTTAGTAGAGACGGGGTTGCTCCATGTTGGCCACGTTGGTATTGAACTCCTGACCTCAAGTGATCCACCTTCCTGGGCCTCCCAAAGTGCTGGGATGACAGGCCTGAGCCGCCGGGATTTCAGCCTTTAAAAGCACGAGCCATGACACTTTTCGCTGCAGCCCTTACAATCAGAATGATGTGTCGTCTCTGCCATAGGTTAACTCCTTGAGTCCCCTATGCCATTGTACTCTAGCCTGGGCAGCAAGAGCGAAACTCCGTCCCCCCACCTTCCCGTGCAAATAGATAAATAAATAATAAATAAATAAACAAACAAACAAATAAATAAATAAAATCTCTACACATGACCTATAAGTGTGCATTCCCATGAGTGATTTCTAAGAAATGGCACTGTACACTGAATGCAGTGGCCCACGTTTGTCATTCCAGCACTTTGGGAGGCCGAGGTGGGTGGTTCACGAAGTCAGGAGTTCAAGACCAGCCTAGCCAACATGGTGAAACCCCGTCTCTACTGAAAATACGAAACTGAGTCGGGTGCAGTGGGGCAGGCACCTGTAATCCCAGCTACTCGGGAGGTTGAGGCGGGAGAATCGCTTGAACCTCGCAGGCGGAGGTTTCAGTGACCCAGGATGGCGCCACTGCACTACAGCCTGGGCGACAGAGTGAGACTTGGTCTCCAAATAAATAAATAAATAAATGAAAGAAAGAAAAGAAAAGAAAAAAGAAAAGAAAACCAGAAAAGAAAGAAAATGAAAGAAAAGTCGCTGTATCGCTACTGGGCTAGGACCTTCCCTCTTTCTGTCTGTTTCTCTTTGTCTCTCTCTGTCCATCTCTGTCTTTCTCTATCTGTCTCTTTCTCTGTCTGTCTGTCTGTCTGTCTCTTTCTTTCTCTCTGTCTCTGTCTCTCTCTCTCTGTCTGTCTCACAGTGTCTGTCTTCTCTCTTTCTCTGCCTGTCTGTCTCTCTCTCTCCCTCCCTCTCTGTTTCTGTCTCTCTCTGTGTCTCTCTCTTTCTGTCTGTTTCTCTCTGTCTCTCTCTGTCTGTCTCTGTTTTTCTCTGTCTCTGTCTGTCTCTGTTTTTCTCTGTCTCTCTGCCTGTCTCTGTATTTCTTTTTCTGAGTCTCTCTGTCTGTCTCTCTCACTCTCTCTCTCTGTCTGTCTCTCTGTGCCTATCTTCTGTCTTATTCTCTTTCTCTACCCATCTGTCTCTCTCTCTGTCTGTCCCTCTCCCTCCCTTTCTGTCTCTCTCTCTCTCTCATTCTCTCTCTGTCTCTCTCTCTTTCTGTTTGTTTCTCTCTGTCTCTCTCTCCATCTCTGTCTGTCTCTCTCTTTCTCTCTGTCTCTGTCCGTCTCTCTCTGCCTGTCTCTCTCACTGTGTCTGTCTTCTGTCTTATTCTCTTCCTCTGCCTGTCTCTCTCTCCCTCCCTGCCTTTCTGTTTCTCTCTCTCTCTGTCTCTCTCTCTGTCTGTTTCTCTCTGTCTGTCTCTGTCTGTCTCCTCCTCTGTCTGTCTGTCTCTCTCTTTCTTTTTTTTTTTCAAGATGGAGTCTCACTGTGTCACCCAGGCTGGAGTGCAGTGGTGCCATCTTGGCTCACTGCAAGCTTCACCACCGAGGTTCACGCCATTCTCCTGCCTCAGCCTCCTGAGTAGCTGGGACTATAGGCGCCCGCCACCAAACCCGGCTAATTTTTTGTATTTTTAGTACAGACGGGATTTCACCGTGTTAACCAGGATGGTCTTGATCTCCTGACCTCGTGATCCGCCCGCCTTGGCCTCCCAAAGTGCTGGGATGGCAGGAGTGAGCCACCGTGCCTGGACTGTCTCTCTCTTTCTTTCTCTCTCTTTCTCTCTCTCTCTTTCTCTCTCTCTCTGTGCCTATCTTCTGTCTTACTCTCTTTCTCTGCCTCTCTGTCTGTCTCTCTCTCTCTGTCTCTCTCTCTCCCTGTCTGTTTCTCTCCCTCTGACTCTCTCTCTCTCTTGCTGATTCTCTCTGTCTGTCTCTGACTGTCTCTTTCTCTGTCTGACTCTCTCTTTCTCTCTGACTCTGCCTCTGACTCTATCTGCCTGTTTCTCTCACTGTGTCTGTCTTCTGTCTTACTCTCCTTCTCTGCCTGTCTGTTTGTCTCTCTCTCCCCCTCTCTTTGTTTCTCTCTCCCTCTCTATCTCTCACTCTCTCCATCTCTCTCTCTGTCTGTTTCTCTCTGTCTGTCTCCGTCTTTCTGTCTCTCTGTCTGTCTGTCTCTCTCTCTCTGTCTCTCTCCCTCCCTGTCTGTCTGTTTCTCTCTCTTTCTCTGTCTCTGTCTCTCTCTTTCTGTTTCTCTCTGTCCATCTCTGTCTCTCTTTCTTTCTCTGTCTCTCTCTTTCTCTGCCTGTCTCTCTCACTGTGTCTGTCTTCTGTCTTACTCTCTTTCTCTGCCTGTCTGTCTGTCTCTCTCTCTCCCTCCCTTTCTCTCTCTCTCCATCTCTCTCTCTTTCTGTTTCTCTCTGTCTCTCTCTGTCTGTCTCTGTGTGTCTGTCTGTTTCTCTCTCTGTCTCTCTCTCTCTTTCTGTTTGTTTCTCCTTATCTGTCTCTCTCTCTCTCTGTCTCTCTCCCTGCCTGTCTGTCTGTTTCTCTCTGTCTCTCTCTGTCCATCTCTGTCTTTCTATGTCTGTCTCTTTCTCTGTCAGTCTGTCAGAGCCCCTTTGCCGGGGAGGGCCCTGCCCCTTCCACGAAAGTGAGAAGCGCCTGCTTAGAGAGGCCGAGAGGAATCTAGACAGACGGGCCTTGCTAGGCTTCGCCACTCGGTGTATGATTTCGGGAGGTCAAGGCCGGGTCCCCACTTGGATGGAAGGGGCATTTTCAAACGTTTCTCTCTGTCACGTGTGGCGTCCCTACTTCTCGTATTTCCCTGATAAGCTCCTCGACTTAAAAATACATGGTTAAGGCCGGGCGCGGTGGCTCACGTCTGTCATCCCAGCAGTTTGGGAGGCCGAGACGGGTGGATCACCTGAGGTTGGGAGTTTGAGACCAGCCTTGCCAACACTGCGAAAACGCATCTCTACTAAAAATACTAAATTGAGTCGGGCGCGGTGGGGCAGGCGCCTGTAATGCCAGCTACTCGGGAGGCTGAGGCAGGAGAATCGCTTGAACCTGGGTGGCGGAGCATGCAGGGAGCCGAGATCGCGCCACTGCACTACAGCCTGGGCTGTAGATTGAGTGAGACTCTGTCTCTAAATAAATAAATAAATAAATAAATAAATGCATTCTTTTCCCTGCTGACTGACACTTGCAGGCATCGGTTGTCTTTGGGCATCACCTAGCAGCCACTGTTATTGAAAGTCGAGGTGACACGGGGAGAGGTCTGGCCGACTTCACCGAACCTGGGGCAACCGGTTTCTGTCTCTCCCTTCTGGAGACCCCTCCCTCTCTCCCTCGTTGCCTAGGGAACCTCCGCCCTGCAGGGGGCCCTATTGTTCTTTGATCAGCGCTTTAGTTTTCTTTCTGTTTTGGTTTCTTTCATGCGCATAGACTCTTCTACTTGGGTTTTAGGAGGGGTCAGTTTAATTTTCAAGTCCCGCCCCGGCTCCCCCCACTACCCACGTCCCTTTACCTTCATTTAGTGAGTCAGTTAGGTGGGTTCCACCCAAACTCCCCACCCCCCGCCTCCCAACACCCTGCTTGGAAACCTTCCGGAGCCACCCCTGTGTGCCTCCGTCTTCTCTCCCCTTCCCCCACCCCTTGCCGGCGATCTCATTCTTGCCAGGCTGACATTTGCATCGGTGGGCTTCAGGCCTCACTCAGTGGCCACTGTTTTTGAAGATGGGGGTGGCCCGGTCCCACTTCCCCAGAGGCAGCTTGGGCCGATGGCATAGCCCTTGACCCGCCTGGGTAAGCGGGCGTGTCTTCAGTTGTGGGTTTTTTCCCATGCTTCCCTCTTCAGGCCTCCCTCCCTAGGAAAGCTTCACCCTGGCTGGGTCTCTATCACCTTTTATCATGATGTTTTAGTTTCTCCGCCCTCGGGCCAGCATAGTTTCACAGTGGGAATGACGTCACAGCTCTAGTCTGGGCCTTATTAGTATTTGCCCAAAATAGAAATGCTTTCTGAAAACTAATACTTTGCTCACTTAAGATTTCCAGGGACAGTGCCTTGGCCTGTGTTTGTTGGCTTGTTTTGTTTTGTTCGTGTTTTTCGTTTTTCTTATGTATTTCTTTTTAGATGAAATAGAAATCCCCAGTTTTCAGGAAGACGTATATTTTCCCCAAGACATGTTAGCTGCGGTTTTCACCTGTTGTTAACTAACGATTTTGTGAATCTCTGAACGTATAGTGAGAGCCGGTTGATGTTTACTAGACTTCAGAACATCTTATGTTCTAGAAATCCGTAAGCGATTGCTGCTGCTGCTCTTGCTGCTGCTGCTGCTCTTGCTGCTGTTGTTGTTGTTGTTTTCAAAGCACACCCCGGCCACCGTTTATGGGATCAAAAGCCTTATAAAATATGTGTAATTATTTCCTGAGCATGCCCTTCCTCCTCCTCTCTCTGTCTCTCTCTCTTTATCCGTTTTCTCTCTTTCTCTGTCTCTCTCTCTTTGCCTGTCTATTTCTCTCTCTCTGTCTCTCTGCCTGCCTCTCTCACTGTGTCTGTCTTCTCTCTTACTCCCTTTCTCTGTCTGTCTGTCTCTCTCTCTCTCCCTGTCTGTTTCTCTCTGTCTCTGTCTCTTTCTCTGTCTCTTTTTCTGTTTCTCTCTGTCCATCTCTGTCTTTCTCTGTCTGTCTCTCTGTCTGTCTCTCTCTTTCTTTCTCTGTCTCTCTGTCTCTGTGTGTCTCTCTCTCTGCCTGTCTCTCTCACTGTGTCTGTCTTCTGTCTTACTCTTTCTCTGCCGGTCTGTCTCTCTCTCTCTTTCTCTCTCTCTCTGTCTCTCTCTATTTGTTTCTCTCTGTCTCTCTCTGTCCGTCTCTGTCTTTCTCTGTCTGTCTCTTTGTCTGTCTGTCTCCCTCTTTCTCTGTCTCGCTGTCTCTGTCTCTCTCTCTGCCTGTCTGTCTGCCTGTAGGTCTCTCTCTCTTTCCCTGTCTGTCTGTTTTTTTCTCTCTCTCTCTTTGCCTGTCTGTTTCTCTGTCTCTGTCTCTCTGTCTGTCACTCTCCGCCTGTCTCTCTCTGTGTCTGTCTTCTGTCTTACTGTCTTTCTCTGCCTGTCTGTCTGTCTCTCTCTCTCCTTGCCTGTTTCTCTCTCTCTCTGTCTCTGTTTCTCTCTGTCTCCCTCTGTCTGTCTCTGTCTTTCTCTCTCTGTCTCTTTCTCTCTGTCTGTCTCTCTCTTTCTTTCTCTTTGTCTGTCCATCTGTCTCTGTCTCTGTGTGTGTGTGTGTTTCTGCCTTCTGTCTTACTCTCTTTCTCTGACTGTCTGCCTGCCTGTCTGTCTGTCTCTCTCTCTTTCTGTCTCTGTCTCTTTCTGTTTCTCTCTGTCTCTGTCCATCTCTGTCTTTCTCTGTCTGTGTCTTTATCTGTCTGTCTCTCTCTTTCTGTCTTTCTCTCTTTGTGTATCTTTGTGTCTCTCTGTCTGTCTCTCTCTGTCTCTGTCTTTCTCTCTCTCTCTCTCTCTCTCTCTCTCGCCCGCTCTCTGGCTCTCGCTATCTCCCGCCCTCTCTTTCTTTGCAAAATATGTTCAAGTACATCTAATCTAGTCCATTACCACGACCTGAATTCTTAACTTTAGACATCCCAGATTTGATCTCCCTACAGAGTGCTGTACAGAACTGGCGAGTTGATTTCTGGACTTGGATACCTCATAGATACTACATATTAATAAAGATCCAACCATAAAATCTGGCGTTGCGTCTCCCTCGACTGTCTCAAAAAATCATACCTCTGTTCACCTAGGATACTGGGAGGGTTTTCTTAATGTGCATCTGCTCGTGTTCTACATGAACTGTGACCGAGCCCTGTCCGTTTTGTCTCAAATATGTATCTGCAAACACGTCTCTCCATTTCCACAACTACCCATGGCCCCTTGTGGAACCACTGGCTCTTTGAAAAAAAAATCCCAGAAGTGGCTTTGACTTTTTGTCTAGGAGGCCTAAACCTGCTGAGAACTTTCCTGCCCAGGATTCTGTGTGAACAAAAGTGCCTCTGCTGGGAGCTGGGATCCTCGGGACCATGCTTGCTATCGTTGGATGAGTCTCTGGAAGGACGCATGGGACTCTGCAAAGCTGACCTGTCCCACCGAGGTCAAATGGATACCTCTGCATTGGCCCGAGGCCTCCAACTTACATCACCGTCACCAACCGTCACCGTCAGCATCCTTGTGAGCCTGCCCAAGGCCCCGACTCCAGGGAGACTCTTGGGAGCCCGGCCTTCGTAGGCTAAAGTAGAAAGGGATTGCGACTTCCACCCACAAGGTCCCCACTGAACTGCAAAGATGTGGAGCATAGGTCAGAGAGGGGACCAGGAGGTGAGATGTCCTGACAGGCGATGAGTTAACTAGGCTCTGGCCACCCCACTCACGTCCCACGTCCCTGGAACCCTCGGAACACTGCCGCTTTATCCCCTCCTCTGTCTAGAGCCGCTCCCACCCCACCCCGCAACCCACGCATACACACTGGAGGTTACAAAACCACAGGGCGTGAATAGAGCCTGACGGAGCAAGAGCTCTTTTCATGAGGCGGGGTGGGTGGGGTGGGGTGAGGGTTGGGGTGTCTGTAGAGAGCCCGATTCTCCCTCGTGGGTGGCTACAGGACACAAATGAATATCGCTTCTTGGGCGGAGGGGCTTCCTTAGGCCGTCACGTTTGCGGGACTATCTCTCAAACCCTTCCTTGAGGCCACAAAATAGATTCCACCCCACCCCTCGACGTTTGCCTGGGTGCTGGATGTATCCTGTCAAGAGACCTGAGCCTGACACGTTGAGTGAAATACCTTTATTGGCTTTGTGTGTTTGTTTGTTTCTGAGATGGAGTCTTGCTCTGTCCCCCACGGCTGGAGTACAGTGGCGTGATCTCAACTCACTGCAACCTCTGCCTCCTGGGTTCGAGTGATTCTCCTGCCTCAGTGCCACCAAGCCAGGCTCATTTTTAAATTTTTAGTACACACGGGGTTTGACCCTGTTTCATTGGTTTTCACTGGAGATTCCAGATTCGAGTCACACCTCATTGTGTGCCACATAATGACTTCTTTTTTTTTCTTTCTTATTTTTTTTAAAGCTCAATATATCTGCTTTATTTGAGTGGCTTTATATATGGTTATAATTGTGTTATAGATGAAGAAAAGGTATTAAACACGGTGCTAATGATAGTGAAAGTGAAAACAAAAGAAAGGCTATCTATTTTGTAGTTAGAATAAAGTTGCTCAGTATTTAGAGCTACCTAAATATGTCAGCATTTAAACTCCTCCTAGTAAAAGTTGGCCAATCTGAATAATCCTCCTTTAAACACAATTTTTGATATGGTTAAGGTTTTTAAGAATGCGACTCCTGCAGAATAGCTGAACAGACAATACACTTTTAAAAAAGAACAACACACGGTTCAACCAGACTTGGGAAAAAAGCAAAAACAACACAAGTCTTATGAAGAACTGAGTTCTTAAAGTATTATGGAGAACATAGCTATCGGAAGAGAAGGCAGTCTTGGTAAGTTGATTGTTACATTTGTCAGCAAAACTAGCACTATTTTTTTGGCAATCTTTCAGACACTGCAACTACTACCGCAAAATGAGATATAATCCATTAAACAATATAGTCACAAATCAAAAAATGTTTTAGTAATGTAATGCTTCAGATTTAGAAGCAAATCAAGTGTTAAAACTCGACTGCTATAAAAATTACCCCCAAAGATAATCGTATCTGACAAAAAAGCTTCCACAGAGTTATGACTTCAGAATTATACTTTCTCTTGATATTTATTTATTAATTTATTTATTTTATTTTATTTTTTTCTTGAGACGGCGTTTTGCTCTGTCACACAGGCTGGAGTGCAATGGCTTAATCTTGGCTCACTGCAACCTCCACTTCCCGGGTTCAAGCGATCCTCCTGCCTCAGCCTCCTGAGTAGGTGGGACTACATGTGCCCGCCACCATGCCCAGCTAATTTTTATACTTTTAATAGAGACGGGGTTTCACCATGTTGGACAGGATGGTCTCGATCTCTTGACCTCGTGATCCGCCCGACTTGACCTCCCAAAGTGCTAGGATGACAGGCATGAGCCACCTTGCCTGGCCTTCTCTTGATATTTAAACTTTTAAGTCAGTCCAGAAAAATACAATAAATGTCAACAGTAATTATGGTGTTGAGGCAGATGTAGGACCAAACTTTTTCGTATGTTATTCAGTTGATAACAATATGACCTGGATAGTAATTTCCTATGTATCTACTTATACAGAAGTAAAAAAAGGAAAACAGAGATACTGCTAAATAAAAGGGTATACTAAGTTCTTAATAGTAACTCAATAAACTGGAACACTTTCAAAAAGCAGCAACTAGTGAATTTTTTCAGTGTTTTTTTCTATTATCCAATAAGTGAATTATGCTATTCCTTTCCAATTTCCCAAGCACTTTTTGTCCCAATCACCATTTCTCTGTTCGAAGAAAAAGTAACAAATCAAGTAACAAAACTAAACAAGCATACAAACAAATAAAACACAATTACAGTATCTGCAAAAGTTTGGTAGAAGACTGAAACTGTTCAGTATAAGGATCTGGTATTCTATTATCATTAGTTAACTGAAGATTTTGTTAAAGACATACATTTCCTAAGAAAACATGTTAGTTTGAAGTTATTGACCAGTATGTACCATCCCTAAATATTAGTAACCAAATTCATGACAATAAAAGAGCTATCTAACAAGAAAAATTAGTGACTACCAGCACCATCTACAAGACTTTGTCTTTACACTTCATTACCACTTACCGTGCATTACAATGTCTAGGATTGACTCTGATAGCATTTCAAAAACAAGCTAATGCTTTGTCCAATTCTTCAGTTAAGACAAACTCTCGCCCTAATAGAGTATAGGCATAAGCATAATTTGGATCCACCTGGATAGCTCTCTGGAAGAATTTAATTGCAATATCGTGTTCCCATTGCAGACTGAAACAGTTCCCTGCAGCACACCAGGGCTCTGGAGGATTTTTATCCATGTCTGTTAAGTCTTTTGACAGAACTGAAAGAGCACCATCTTTTTGAAGATGCCAAAATGTTGTAGAGTAGATTTCCATGCCTTCGACTCTATAATTCTCCATCCTTCAAACCTCTGAGAATATTCTTTCAGCTTGCATGTACTCTGGAAGTTCAAAATAGACCCTTCCAATTTGGCACAGTACCCAACCAGTATTGTAGTGGTGAGAAGGTAGATGGCTCAAAATATTTATAGCTTCTTTGCAGTGGTATGAACACAAAGCTAAATAACCTTTTCCCCTTTCACGAAGAAGGCTCATCAAGCCTTCTGCTGCTGCTTTTTATGATTAAAAGCCTGAATCTGAGGTGTGATTGTGGATATTTTCTCTTGTGAAATGATGAAAGAGTCCAATTTTGTAATTTCCAGGCTATCATTTATGTTAGGTTGAGTTATTCCTCCTTTATTAGTTTTACTTTTTGTTTTCCTGTTTGGGATTTTAGGTGGAAACTTCATTTTTAATTTCTTCCTATTCTCCCTGGTTGTGGAACTGTCACTGGTAAAGAGTCGTGAACTTCTTCAATGCAGCACATTTGGGGGAGATGCCATAGTGGGGCTCAATACCTGAGGTGATGTACTTATTTGTGGACGAGAACTTTGTGTTTGTGCAAGAATTGGAGTTACCTCTCGGCTATTTCCACTCTGTGAGAAGACAGACTTTGCTCCAGTTTGGCCGATTCTAGCAACAGACTTTTTTGAAGGGGATCCGGTGGATGGCACATCAATTTCAGAAGGTGTATTAGTGTAGTTTTGTAAATAGGATCCATCTCCAGGACTTGGGGTTTCTAATGGCAAAATCCCAAAACTTGGGGTTAATGGACTAAGAGCTGCTAGTTCTCCTAATAAACTTCGACCAGTTTTTGGTTTATTTTGAACCTGTTTAGAAAATATGGAAGTTCCTGTTCCCAGTGGGAGAGTGTCAGGTGAAATTACAGCTGAATCAATAGAAGACACTTGGGAATCTGTATTCAAGGAGTACTTTGAATTGGAAGATTCTAAATTCAATCTGTTTAATTCAGTTGTGTCCTGTGGTGTTTCCGTGAGAACAGTCTCAGGCTGTCTGTGACATAAACTATGATTAGGTATTTGTGCTGTGCAAGAGTTGGGCAGACAGTTGCTAAAGTTCTGTGAAGTTGTGAATTTAAATGTTTGGGGGCAGGATCTGGCTTTTCACCTATTTCACATAATGATTCGAAGGGATACCAGAGGAAAGGATTTCAACTAAGGCTCTTTTGGTAACATTCTGATCCTTTGGCAAGCCAATCTGTCTTGCAATATACATGTCCCAACAATGGAAGGGGAAAGCAAGCTCAATCACCAAACTCAGTAACAATATCATCATGGCTTTTCTGCTTATGAAACACTCCACCAGATAAGATTTGTTCCCCTTCTGCAAGCTTGCTAAGATCAACACAACATTTTGCAAGCAGGTATTTGCATTGCGGTGTAGGACAACTGTGTCCTTCCAAGAGTCTATATGCTTTATAGGCCTTTTCTGGGCGGTAAGAACAGGTCGCCTGTAAAAACAAGGCTTCTTCTGAGTGTACTTCTGCATAAAGGCATTCTGCGAGGAAAACCCCATCTCGGTAAGCATAGTGGTTTAGTGCTTGCCATATAGCAGCCTGGACGGGTTCCTGCAGCACCGTCATCCTCGAGGCTCAGACCCACTTTCTGCAGTGCCTCAGGCACTCCCCCACCCCGCCCACCCCCCTCCCCCCCGTAGCAGCTCTGGCCTTGCCAGCCTTAGCTCATTTAAACTCACCAGTTTTGTAGGTTGCCTGTCCACTCTGATGGTAGTTTCTTTTGTTGTGCAGAAGCTCTTTAGTTTAATTAGATCCCATTTGTCAAATTTGGCTTTCGTTGCCATTGCTTTTGGTGTTTTAGACATGAAGTCCTTGCCCATGCCTATGTCCTGAATGGTAATGCCTAGGTTTTCTTCTAGTATTTTCATAGTTTTAGGTCTAACATTTAGGTCTTTAATCCATCTTGAATTGATTTTTGTATAAGGTGTAAGGAAGGGATCCAGTTCCAGCTTTCTACATATGGCTAGCCAGTTTTCCCAGCACCATTTATTAAATAGGGAATCCTTTCCCCATTGCTTGTTTTTCTCAGGTTTGTCAAAGATCAGATAGTTGTAGATATGCGGCATTATTTCTGAGGGCTCTGTTCTGTTCCATTGATCTATATCTCTGCTTTGGTACCAGTACCATGCTGTTTTGGTTACTGTAGCCTTGTAGTATAGTTTGAAGTCAGGTAGTGTGAGGCCTCCAGCTTTGTTCTTTTGGCTTAGGATTGACTTGGCGATGCAGGATCTTTTTTGGTTCCATATGAACTTTAAAGTAGTTTTTTCCAATTCTGTGAAGAAAGTCATTGGTAGCTTGATGGGGATGGCAAAGGAATCTAGAACTAGAAATACGATTTGACCCAGCCATCCCATTACTGGGTATATACCCAAAGGACTATAAATCATGCTGCTATAAAGACTTATGCACACGTATGTTTATTGCGGCATTATTCACAATAGCAAAGACTTGGAACCAACCCAAATGTCCAACAATGATAGACTCAATTAAGAAATTGTGGCACATATACACTATGGAATACTATGCAGCCATAAAAAATGATGAGTTCATGTACTTTGTAGGGACATGGATGAAACTGGAAATCATCATTCTCAGTAAACTATCGCAAGAATAAAAAACCAAACATTGCATATTCTCACTCATAGGTGGGAATTGAACAATGAGAACACATGGACACAGGAAGGGGCACATCACACTCTGGGGACTGTTGTGGGGTGGGGGAAGGTAGGAGGGATAGCATTAGGAGATATACCTAATGCTAGATGATGAGTTAGTGGGTGCAGTACACCAGCATGGCACATGTATACATATGTAACTAACCTGCACATTGTGCACAGGTACCCTAAAACTTAAAGTATAATAATAATAAAAATAAAAATAATAAATAAACTCACCAGTTACCAGGGGATGGGGGAGGCTGAGCCAGAATGACTTCTTTAGCCTGCCGACTCTGGAAAGCCCAACCCCTTGTGATCCATGGCAAAGTGAGAGTCACCTCATGTTTGGAAAACAGATCCACTCTTAAGTTCAGTGGAGGGATGTGGCATATAGGACGAAGGACTCTCTTCATTCTGATTCGGTCTGCACAGTGGGTCCTAAGGCTGGAGCTCTCTCTGTGTGGACTGCTGACTCCCTCTACCTTGGGTTCCATCGGCCCCACCCTGGGACACTTGCCTTGGCAGATTCTGGCCCTTCTGGCCCTTAAGTCGCTGTCAGAAACCTCATCTCGCGCTCGGATGCCCCGAATGACTGTGGCTCGCGCATCTCTGGAAACATTGGAAATCTCTCCTCTACGCACGGCCACCTAAAACCACAGGAGCTCGGGACACATGGCTGCCATCCACCTCACTGCTTTCGGGAGAGAATGCTGAGAGTCTCTTACAAACTCTCTCTTGACTTGAGTTCTTCATGGGTGTGTGGTTAAGACATAGTGAGACCAGATGTATTAACTCAGGTCGGGTGCTGGTGTCTCACGCCTGTAACCCCAACACTTTGGGAGGCCGAGGCCATAGGATCCCTTGAGGAATCGCCTAACCCTGGGGAGGTTGAGGCTGCAGTGAGTGAGCCATAATGGTGTCACTGCACTCCAGTCTGGGAGAAAGACAGAGTGAGGCCCTGTCACAGGCAGGCAGGCAGGCAGGCAGACAGACAACAGTTGTATTATATTCTTCTCTGGGTAGGAAGTAAAAATAACAGAATAAAGTGCTTAATTTTTTTTTTTTTTTTTTTTGAGACGGAGTTTCACTGTTGTTGCCCATGCTGGAGTGCAATGGCACCATCTCGGCTCACCGCAACCTCCACCTCCCGTGTTCAAGCGATTCTCCTGCCTCAGCCTCCTGAGTAGCTGGGATTACAGGCATGTGTCACCACACCCGGCTGATTTTGTATTGTTAGTAGAGACGGCATTTCTCCATGTGGGTCAGGCGGGTCTCAAACTGGCCACCTCAGGTGATCTGCCCACCTCGGCCTCCCAAAGTGCTGGGATGACAGGCGTGAACATTTGAGCCCTGCCAGCTACGTTTTTTATAAATTTTCAATTTTAATCTATTATTATTATTTCTTTTTTGAGATGGAGTCTCACTCTGTTGCCCAGACTGGAGTGCAGTGGCATGATGTCGGCTCACTGCAAGCTCTGCCTCCCGGGTTCATGCCATTCTCCTGTCTCAGCCTCCCAAGTAGCTGGGACTACTGGCATCTGCCACAGCGCCTGGCTAATTTTTGGTATTTTGAGTAGAGACAGGGTTTCACTGTGGTAGCCAGGATGGTCTCGATCTCCTGACCGTCGTGATCCGCCTGCCTCGGCCTCTCAAAGTGCTGGGATTACAGGCGTAAGCCACAGCTCCCGGCCTACTTATCTATTTATTAACTTTGAGTCCAGTTTATGAAACCAGTTAGTTTTCGTATTTTTTTAGAGAAGAGGTTTCACCATGTTGCCAAGGCTTGGATCGAGGGATCCACCTTCCCTTGCCTCCCAAAGTGCAGGGATGACAGGCGTGAGCCTACCAAGCCCGGCTCCTCCCCTTCATCCCCCAGCTTATCCCTCAGGTGCCCGAGGTCGAGCGGTGGTGTGTGGTTCCCACCCTCAGCGCCCCCTCCTCCGGTCACCGCCGCGATGTCCACGAGTGGGTCCTGAGGGAGCTCGTTGGTGTAGGGGTTGAGGCGGTTGAGTGAGACGCGCTCCTCCCACGCGGGGAAGAGTGCTGCCTGATCTGGCGAGCGCAGGGCCCGTGCTCCTCTCTGGCGGGTGCGCGCGGGCCGTGTGAGCTATTGCGGTGGGCTGGGTCAGATGACGCGTGCGCCGTCCGGCAGCCGAGGGGCTACCGTTCTGCCTCCGACAGGTTGTGTGTGGGTTTACTTGGAGGTGCTTTGCCTGGGAGAAAGGAGGCTGGTCGACGGGGGGGCCCTTGTGGGATTGCGCACACGTGCAGCGGCCAGGCCCCCTGCCCAGACCGCGAAGGCTCAAGGTTGCCGCACGCAGATTTTTCCTGGTACCGCAGGCCCCCTCCCTTCCCCAGGCGTCCCTGCGCGCCTCTGCGGGCCCGACGAGGGGCGACTGGCATGTGGGAACTGTGACTCACCCTCAGTGAGAAAGCCTTCTCTAGCGATCTGAGAGGTGTGCCTTTGGGGTACCGGATCCCCCGGCCTGCCGCCTCTCTCTGCGTTATGGTAGCGCTGCCGTGGCGACTGGCTTGCAGAGGACCCTCCTCCACTGCCCCCTTGATGGGGTGAGGGGGGGAGAGCAAGGGTTCCGCCAGCCTCCACGGTGGGGACCCAGGGAAGCTCGTCGCCTACTGTGTGGCCCGCGCCTCCCCCTTCCGAGTCGGGGGAGGATCCCGCCGGGCCGGGCCGGGCCGGCGTCCTAGCATTTGGGAGGCTGCGTGAGCGGTGGCTGTGCCTGGCGTTCAGTCCAGCTTGTGACCCATTCCGCTGTGAGCCGGCTCTCTGCCCGCTCCCCTGCAGAGCAGCGACCGGTGCCGACGACCGCGTTTGCGTGGCACGAGGTTGGGCCACCTGGCCCTGGGAAGCATCCCAAGTGGGGGGCATGTCGGTCTCCTGGAGCTTGACCGGGTTGGAGGATGGATGAGAAACGAGCAACGTGGCCCTGGCGTTGGGTTTGTGGCTGAGGTCGCCTCGGGGTCCTGATGGCGGGACCCGGGGCTCATGAGGCGGGTCTTGGTGGGTGCCGAGGGCCATCCGGCATCCTAGGCGGGTCACTGCGGGACCTCCCTCGTGTCTGTGGTGGTGGGATCCCGTGGCCGTGTTTTCCTGGTGGCCCGGCCATGCCTGAGGTTTCTCCCCGAGCCGCCCCTCTGCGGGCTTCCAGGTGCCCTTGCCCTC
>NC_000014.9:16054459-16061677 GCF_000001405.40 Homo sapiens
CCCACCACCCGGAGCTCCTCCCTCCCTACCCCACGCCCCATCGCCCGCCCTGCCACGCCCAATCTCGCAACTGGGACGCCGGGCTCATCCTCGCGAGTCCCAGAGGCCGCTTTCTACCTACCTGGTTGATTCTATCAGAACCATATGCTTGTCTCAAAGATTAAGCCATACATGTCTAAGTATGCAGGGCCGGTACAGTAAAACTGTGAATGGCTCATTAAATCAGTTATGGTTCTTTTGGTCGCTGGCTCCTCTTCTACTTGGAAAACTGTGGTAATTCTAGAGCTATTACATGCCGAAGGGCACTGACCCCCTTCACGGGGAAGATGCATGCATTTATCAGATCAAAACCAACCCAGTCAGCCCCTCTCCGGCCCCGGCCAGGGGGTCGGGTGCCGCCAGCTTTGGTGCCTCTGGATAACCTCAGGCCAATCGCATGCCCCCCGTGGCAGCGATGACCCATTCGAACGTCTGCCCTATCAACTTTCTATGGTAGTCGCTGTGCCTACCATGGTGACCACGGGTGACAGGGAATTAGGGTTCAATTCTGGAGAAGGAGACTTAGAAACGGCTACCACATTCAAGGAAGGCAGCAGACACTCAAATTACCCACTCCTGACACGGGAGGTAGTGACAAAAAATAACAATACAGGACTCTTTCAAGGCCCTGTAATTGGAATGAGTCCACTTTAAATCTTTTAATGAGGATCCATTGGAGGGAAAGTCTGGTGCCAGCAGCCATGGTAATTCCAGCTCCAATAGCGTATATTAAAGTTGTTGCAGTTAAAAAGCTCGTAGTTGAATCTTGGGAACGGGTGGGCTAGCGAGCCACAGCCTGTCCCTGCTTCTTGCCTCTCGGTGCCCCCTGGATGCTCTTAGCTGAGTGTCCTGCGGCCCGAAGCGTTTACTTTGAAAAAATTAGAGTGTTCAAAGCAGGCCCAAGCCGCCTGGATACTGCAGCTTGGAATAATGGAATAGGACCACGGTTCTATTTTGTTGGTTTTCGGAACTGAGGCCATTATTAAGAGGGACGGCCGGGGGCATTCATATTGCACCGCTAGAGGTGAAATTCTTGGACTGGCACAGTTTGGACCAGAGCGAAAGCATTTGCCAAGAATGTTTTCATTAATCAAGAACGAAAGTCAGAGGTTCGAAGACGATCAGATACCGTTGTAGTTCCGACCATAAACGATGCCGACTGGCGATGTGGCAGCGTTATTCCCATGACCCGCTGGGCAGCTTCCAAGAAACCAAAGTCTTTGGGTTTTTGGGTTCCGAGGGGAGTATGGTTGCAAAGCTGAAACTTAAAGGAATTGACAGAAGGGCACCACCAGGAGTGGAGCCTGCATCTTAATTTGACTCAACATGGGAAAACTCACCTGGCCTGGACACGGACAGGATTGACAGATTGATAGCTCTTTCTCAATTCCACAGGTGGTGGTGCATGGCCTTAGTTGCTGGAGTGATTTGTCTGGTTAATTCCAATAATGAACGAGACTCTGGCATGCCAACTAGTTATGCGACCCCCGAGTGGTTGGCATCCCCCAACTTCTTAGAGGGACAAGTGGCGTTTAGCCACCTGAGATTGAGCAATAACAGGTCTGTGATGCCCTTAAATGTCCAGGGCTGCACGCGCGCTGCACTGACTGGCTCAGCGTGTGCCTACCCTATGTGGCAGATGTGGGTAACCTGTTGAACCTCATTGGCAATGGTGATCATTGATTGCAATTTTTCCCCATGAATGAGGAATTCCCAGTAAGTGCTGGTCATAAGCTTGCATGAAGTCCCTGTCCTTTGTACACACTGCAGGTTGCTACTCCTGATTGGATGGTTTAGTGAGGCCCTCGGATCAGCCCCTCCGGGTCAGCCCACTGCCCTGTCGGAACGCTGAGAAGACAGTCGAACTTGACTATCTAGAGGAAGTAAAAGTCGTAACAAAGTTTCGGTAGGTGAACCTGCGGAGGGATCATTAACAGAGAAGAGCAAAGCCACGGAGATGCCGCCATGTCCTTCCTCCTTGGCTGACTGTGTTCCCCTGTGGCGCATGCATGGGTGGGGTCGTGCCCTTTGTTCGTTGCATGGCCCCATCTGCCCCGAGAGCCAGAGAACTCAGAAGGGAGAGAGGGGGTAGAGAGAGACATGCGTGTGGGGATGAAACTGTGTGCTTGTCGTGGGGTGGGCTGGATGGCTCGCCGGCCTGGTGAGCAGTGGGGAGCGGTCCCCTGCTGTGGCCCCCATGTGTGCGTCGGTGGGCGCGGGGGTGGTTCTCGGCGTCATGGTGGGGTGGGGGTCTCGGTGCCCTCCCCACTGGGGCCGTCATCATGCCCTGTCGCACTGTCTTGGCCCCATCCCGCCCGCTCCCGTTGGGGCTGGCCAGGTTCCCATCGCTGCCGCTGCCACCATCGTCGCCTCTGTCAAACCATGCCACTGGCCCGGCCCAGCCTGCTTGCTCTCCCCAGCCTTCCCACTAGGGGGTCTCGAGGGTAGGGGGCTGGACGCCGGTCCCACCCCCCTCATCCGCCCCCACCATCCAGGTACCTAGCGCATTCTGGTGCGGAGGTTTAAGGACCCCTTGGGGGGTCGCCAGTCTGCCTGTGGGTCAGGTGCAGTGGGCCCTCAGTGGAGTCCGTTCAGGAGGGGCCCGCCCCTCCCTCGCCTCCCCTGCTGACTCCATCCCCCCGGCCAGCCGGGGGCCACGCCACACTTGCGTGTCGCCGCTGATGCCGGTGGGGGCTTTACCCAGCGGCCATCGTGCTGTCACACATGCCTTGCATGTGGCCTGTACCCCGCACTGTGGGGGCGGGAACCCCTGGGCTCCCATGGGGTGGTGTCAGCCTTTGTCCCCCCCGTGGTTGGCACCACCTCCCTGTGTTGTGAAACCTTCCAACCCCTCTCTGGAGTCTGGTCCCGTTGCTGTCTGACTGGCCGGCCTGAGGTAACCCCTCTGGGGGACGTGCTGTGCCAGGAGGGCCTCCCGTTGTTGGGAGTGCCCTCGCCAAATCAACCTTGTATGACTTTTAGTGGTGGATCACTCAGCTCCTGCATCAATGAAGAATGCAGCTAGCTGGGAGAATTAATGTGAACTGCAGGACACATTGATCATCGACACTTGAATGCACTTGCGGCCTGGGTTCCTCCCAGGGCTATGCCTGTCTGAGCGTCGCTTGCCGATCAAAATTCCCCAGGGTTGCCTCTGGGCTCCTTGGGGTGCCCAGCTGTTCTGTGGCAGGGCCCACAGGGCCCTCTGTCCCCCCAAGTGCAGACCGGTGACATCCGCCCTCCTCTCCCACTGTGCCCGTCCCTTCCCCCTCCCCCCGCAGGCCCTGTGTGGTCACGCGTTGGGTGGCGTGGGGAAGGGGGGCTCCCGGCTGTGAGGAAGAGAGAGAGGGCAGCACCGCCACTTGTGAAAACAGAAAGGGAAGATAGCCGGCTGTGGCTGAGTTCCTGTGGCCACCTTCATGGTCTGGGATCCTCCCTTGGGGGCTCCCTCATGCCTCATGCAGCTCATGGTGCAGGGTTCATTGGCCCTGGCGGGGTGGAAGGTCCCATGCCGTCGTTGTCTCATGTCGTCGGTGGTGGAGGCTTGCTGGGGGTTGGGAGGAAGGCAAATAGGAAGGGTCCACCGGGGAGAGGGTGGGGGAGCACGTCCCAGTCGCTGCGGTTCACCGTCCACCCCTGGAGGCGGCCCAGTGACTGGCTGACCGCAGCTCCAGTGCCCCTCGTCCCCAACACTCCTCTGAGGCACCATCCTCCTCGCCCGCCCACCCCCTGCCCACCCCCCGCCCGCCCGGCACGTCATGGTGTGTCCGGGGCCGGAAGCCTGCCACACGGCCCGTCTGGCAGTGCTCGTGGCCATGGTCCCATGGTTCGCTTGCCCCTGCTGGAGATCCGCTGGACGCTGTGGTGTCGTCCACTATCGCGTGCCCACCTCCGGCTCTGGGCCACGCGGTGCCTGGGGCCCCATCCGGAGCTTCCATGTTGGGGCAGGGCAGCACCGCCGCATCCTCGGACCCATGCCCCACCTCCATTTAGTACGTAGGCAATCTCATGTAACTTAACAAAGCTAGCATGTCCCTAGACTTGGTGCAGCCACTGTAGGGGTGGCCTCCCAGTAGCATCATTAACATCAATTGTAATTGGTAGGCAATCACTTAGTTTCACATTTCATTACCCGAGTTACACAAAAGTGTAAAAAAATACAGTTTTAATAAAAGGGAGTAAAAGATAATATGAGTAATATTCACAATATCTAGTTGGAAGAGGTAGTGTTTTCTCAGAAATGATGCATTCCTGGAACAAGGTCATTTTGTGTTTGGTTTGTTAAATATCTATTTCCATTTTGACAAACCACTGGAAAAGCCCAGCTTCACAAGGATTCTCCATGAGAACGATCACACAAAAGAACATCCATAACATAAAATCAAAACAAGGGTGGTCCAGTCGTCACATTAAAGGCTCATTACCAAGTTTTCTTAGAAGAGATAAAGAACACAAAGTTACTTTTATGTGATGGAAAACAGAGAGAAAGAGTAAATGCAACAATAAATGTTAGGCAACAACAGTGAAAACAAAGCTGTGGAAAAAAATGAATGGAATTGTTTTGTTTGGTATTGATTTCCTATCCTGATATCAGAAAGTATGGGAAAGAACAAAGCACATTTTCTGAGACAAATAGAACATAAAACAGATGAATGTTAAAGACTATTTTACAGTGCTAACAAAACTATCTGTGGCTTGTTTTTTCCCTTTAAAGATACGATTTTGTACAATTACATTTATATAAATTATTGAAATAAAATTGTAAAGATGGAGAACAGACTATGGGGTTGCCAAGGGGAAGGGGTGGAGGAAAATGTGTTAGAGTGTCAGCAAAGATCCCAAGATGGAGCCTGATGGTGAGACTACAGTTCTGCATCTTGACTGTCGAAGTGGTAGTTACAGAGATCTACACCACATAAAAATGAACAGAACACCCGCACACGCATACACACGTACAAAAATGAATGCATGCAAAACAGTTGCGATCTGAGTAAGCTTTCTGAATTGTACCTATGTCAGTTTCCAGGTTTTGATAATGCTCTATGGCTATGCGAGATGTCACCACTGGAATTAGTGAAGAGTACCTAAGACATCCCTGTACCTTTTGCAACTTCCTGTGAATCTATAATTATTTCAAAAGAAACTTGAAAGTCATAGCAGACTTTCACTTCAAAGAGGAAAAAAACTGAAGATTAATGAAATTGTTGAAGAACATCAAATATTCAATAGTCTGTATGAGAGCTGTATCCTGTCCACTCGCAGCACAGCTGTCATTTAGCCTTTTTCTGACGTGCCCTGGAGGACTTGAGCTCCTCTTGGATTGCCAAGGCCAATAGTGTTTCTTTGTTACTAACTTTGTACTGGACCCCCAAAAATGAAAAGTGATTGAATAATCATTTATAATAACTACTAGTAATTTTACTTATAAAGAGACAATAGTGGTAACCAATTTAAATATTTAGGGTAAAGAATAGGATCTTTGTAAGACAATACTGGCAAAATTTTAAAAGAAAAAATAAGGAATCAGAAACGTAAGTAGTTCAGTATTGTGAAAAAATTCTGGATCTGAGAAGCAAAAGAACAGAGATTGTATTGCGTTTCTGCTCCAAACCTGATGAATCACCTTAGCTGTGTTTTGTTTCTGCACCAAAGCTGCAGAATCACCTTAGGCAATGCATGCCATTTCCCTGAATCTGTTTTCTTTTCTACAAAATAAAGTGAACTAGATCATCTCCAAGGTCCCCCAAATATTCACATTTTGGGCTCTACATGAACTTCTGTTGAATTCCTCATTTCAGTGTGGATAACACATGTGTGCTGCACCACAAGCAGTGTTTCTAAATGCTCATGTTGGTCCTAAAAACTAATTATGAGCAGTTTGGAAATTTTGTTGTTGTAGAATCTGCAAAGGGATATCTGTGAGCACTTTGAGGCCATGGTGAAAAAGGAAATACCTTCACATAAAAACTATAAAGAATGTTTCTGAGAAACTGCTTTGTGATGTCTGCATTCATCTCACAGAGTTAAACGTTTCATTCCCTTGATCAGTCTGGAAACTCTGTTCTTGTACAATCTGCAAAGTGATATTTGTGAGTGCTTTGAGGTCTATGGTGAAAAAGGAAATATCTTCACATAAAAACTAGACAGACGCTTTCTGAGAAACTACTTTGTGACGTGTGGATTCATCTCACAGAGTTAAACCATTCTTTTGATTGAAAAGCTTGGAAATGGTGTTTTTGTAGAATCTGCAGAGGGATATTTGTGAGCACTTTGAGGCCTATGGTGAAAAAGGAAATATCTTCACATAAAAACTAGAAAGAAGATTTATGAGAAACTGCTTTGTGATGTGGGTGTTCATGTCACAGAGGTAAATGTTTCTTTTCATTGAGCAGATTGGAAACTCTGTTCTTGTAGGATCTGCAAAGGGATATTTGTGAGCAGTTTGAGGCCTGTGGTGAAAAAGGAAATATCATCGCATAAAAACTTGACAGAAGTTTCTGAGAAAATTCCTGGTTGTGTGTGCATTCATCTCACAGAGTTGAACCATTCTTTTGATTGAGCAGTTTGGAAACAGTATTTTTGTAAAATTGGCAAAGGGATATTTGTGAGCACTTTGAGGCCAATGATGAAAAAGGAAATATCTTCACATAAAAACTAGACAGACGATTTCTGAGAAACTTTTTTTTTTGATGTGTAGTTCATCTCACAGAGTAGAACCATTCTTCTGATTGAGCAGTTTGGTAACAGTCTTCTTGTAGAATCTGCAAAGGGATATTTGTGAGCGCTTTGAAGCCTATGTTGAAAAAGGAAATGTCTTCACATAAAAACTAGAAAGAAGGTTTCTGAGAAACTGATTTGTGATGTGTGACTTCATCTCACAGAGTTGAACCTTTCTATTGATTGAGCATTTTGGAAACAGTATTTTGTAGAATCTGCAAATGGATATTTGTGAACACTTTCAGGCTTATGGTGAAAAAGGAAATATCTTCACATGAAAACTAGACAGAAGCTTTTGAGAGACATCTGTGTGATGTGTGCACTCATCTCACAGAGTTGAACCATTCCTTTGATTGAGCAATTTGGAAACAGTCTTTTTGTAGAATATGCAAAGGGATATTTGTGAACACTTTGAGACCTATGGTGAAAAAGGAAATATCTTCACATAAAAACTAGACAGAA
>NC_000014.9:16061993-16086625 GCF_000001405.40 Homo sapiens
TGAGAAGTTTGGAAAGAGTCTTTTTAGGAGAATCTGCAAAGGATATTTTGAGCGCTTTGATAGGTATGGTGCAAGGGAAATATTTTCATATAAAAAACTGGACAGAAGCTTTCTGAGAAACTTCTTTGTGATGTGCGCATTCATCTCACAGAGTTGAACCTTTCTTTTGATTGAGCACTTTGGAAAGAGTCCTTTTCTAGAATCTGCAGAAGGATATTTATGAGTCCTTTATGGCCTAAGGTGAAATAGGAAATATCTTCACATAAAAACTAGACAGAAGCATTCTGAGAAACTTTTTTGTGAAGTGTGCTTTCATCTCACAGAGTTGAAGCTCTCTTTTCATTGAGGAGTTTGGAAACAGTCTTTTTTGTAGAATATGCAAATAGATATTTGGAGCGCTTTGAGGCCTATGGTGAAAAAGGAAATATCTTCACATAAAAACTAGCCAGAAGCATTCTTAGAAACTTCTTTGTGATGTATACATTCATCTCACAGAGTTGAATCTTTCTTCTGATTGAGCAGTTTCAAAACAGTCCTTTTGTAGAATCTGCAAAGGGATGTTTGTGAGCCCTTTGAGGCCTATGGTGAAATAGGAAATATCTTCACATAAAAACTAGTCAGAGGATTTCTGAGAAACTTCTTTTTGATGTGTGCTTTCATCTCACAGAGTTGAACCTTTCTTTTTATTGAGCAGTTTTGAAACACATTTTTTGTAGAATCTGCAAATGGATATTTGGAGCACTTTGAGGACTATGGTGAAAAAGGAAATATTTTCACAGAAACCTAGAAAGCAACATTCTATGAAACTTCTTTGTGATATGTGCTTTCGTTTCACAGAGTTGAACCTTTCTATTCATTGAGCAGTTTGGAAAACATCTTTTTGTAGAATCTGCAAATGGACATTTGGAGAGGTTTGAGACCTTGTTGAGAAAGGAAATATCCTCACATAAAAACTAGACAGAAGCATTCTGAGAAACTTCTTGGTGACATGTGCATTTATCATACAGAGTTGAACCTTTCTTTTGATTGAACAGTTTGGAAACAGTCTTTTTGTAGTATCTCCTAAGGGATGTTTGCATGTGGTTTGAGGCCTATGTTGAAAAAGGAAATATCTTCACATAAAAACTAGACAGAAGCTTTCTGAGAAACTTCTTTGTGATGTGTGAATTCATCTCACAGTGTTGAACCTTTCGTTGGATTGAGCAGTTTGGAAACAATTATTTTGTAGAATCTGCAAAGGTATATTTCTGAGCCCATTGAGGCCTATGGTGAATTATGAAATATCTTCACATAAAAACTAGACAGAAGGTTTCTAAGAAACTTCTTTGTGCTGCGTGCTTCCATCTCACAGAGTTGAACCTTTCTTTTGATTGAGCAGTTTGGAAACACTCTTTTTGTAGAATCTGCAAATGGATATTTGGAGGACTTTGAGGCCCATGGTAAAAAAGGAAATATCTTCACATAGAAACTAAATGGAAGCTTTCTGATCAACTTTTTTTGTGATGCATGCACTCATCTCACAGAGTTGAACCATTCTTTTGATTGAGCAGTTGGAAACAGTCTTTTTGTAGAATCCGCAAATGGGTATTTGGAGCGGTTTGAGGCCTATGGTGAAAAAGGAAAGTTCTTCACATAAAAACGAGACAGAAGCATTCTGAGAAACTTCTTTGTGATGAGAGATTTCATTTCACAGAGTTTAAACTTTCTTTTCATTGAGCAGTTTGGAAACAGTCTTTTTGTAGAATCTGCAAAGGGATATTTGTGAGCCATTTGAGGCATGTGGTGAAAAAGGAAATACCTTCACATAAAAACTAGACAGAAGCATTTTGAGAAACCTCTTTGTGATGTTTGAATTCATCTGACAGAGTTGAACCTTTCTTTTGATTGAGCAGTTTGGAGACAGTCTTTTTGTACAATCTGCAAAGGGATATTTCTGAGCCGTTTGAGGCCTATGATGAAAAAGAAATATCTTCCAATAAAAACTAGACAGAAGCATTCTTAGAAACTACTTTGTGATGTGTCCATTCATCTCACAGAGTTGAAATTTTCTTTTGATTGAGCAGTTTGGTAACAGTATTTTTGTAGCATCTGCAAATGTATATTTGTGAGCCCTTTATGGCCTATGGTGAAATAGGAAATATCTTCACATAAAAACTAGACAGTAGCTTTTTGAGAAACTTCTCTGTGATGTGTGCTTTCATCTCACAGATTTGAAAATGTTTTTCAATTGTGCAGATTGGAAACAGTCTTTTTGTAGAAACTGCAAATGGATATTTGGATCGCTTTGAGGCCTATGGTGAAAAAGGAAATATCTTCACATAAAAATTAGATGGAAGCATTCTGAAAAACTTCTTTCTGACATTTGCATTCATCTCACACTGTTGAACATTTCTTTGATTGAAGATTTGGAAACACTTTTTTTTTGTAAAATCTACAAAGGGATAATTGTGAACCCTTTGAGGCCTATTGTGAAGTAGGAAATATCTTCATATAAAAACTACACAGAAACATTCTGAGAAACTTTTTTTGTGATGGGTGCATTCATCTCACACAGTTGAAGCTTTCTTTTGCTAGAGCAGTTTGGAAGCAGTCCTTTGTAGAATCCCCAAAGGGATATTTCTGAGCTCATTGAGGCCTTTGGTGATATAGAAAGTATCTTCACATAAAAGCTAGACAGAAGCTTTCTGAGAAACCTCTTTTAATGAGTGCTTTCATCTCAAAGAACTGAGGGTTTCTTTTGACTGAGCAGTTTGGAAACACTCTTTTTGCAGAATCTGCAAGTGGATAATTGGAGTGCTTTGAGGCCTATGGTGAAAAAGGAAATATCTTCACATAAAAACTAAACAAAAGATTTCTGAGAAACTACTTTGTAATGCGTGCATTCATCTCACAGCGTTGAAACTTTCTTTTGATTGAGCTGTTTGTAAACAGTCTTTTTGTAGAATCTGTAAATGGATATTTGGAGTGCTTTGAGGCCTATGGTGAAAAAGGAAATATCTTCACAAAAAAACTAGAAAGAAACATTCTGAGAAACTTCTTTGTGATGTGTGCTTTCATCTCACAAAGTTGAACCTTTCTTTTCATTGAGCAGTTTGGAAACAGACTTTTTGTAGAATCTGGAAATGCACATTCAGAGCACTTTGAGGCCTATGGTGAAAAAGGAAATATCTTCAGATAAACACTAAACAGAAACTTTCTGAGAAACTTCTTTGTGATACGTTCATTCATATTACAGGGCTGAACCTTTCTTTTGATTTAGCAGTTTGTAAACAGTCTTTTGGTAGAATCTGCAAATGGATACTTGGAGTGGTTTGAGGCCTATGGTGAAAAGGAAAAGATCCTCACAAAAAAAACTAGAAAGATACATTCTGAGAAACTTCTTTGTGATGTGTGCTTTCACCTCACAGAGTTGAAACTTTCTTTTCATTGAGCAATTTGGAAACAGTCTTTTTGTAGAATCTGCAAATGGATATTTGGAGCGCTTTGAGGCCTATGGTGAAAAAGGAAATATCTCACATAAACACTAGACAGAAGCATTTTGAGAAACTTCTTTGTGTTGTGTCCATTCATCTCACAGAGTTGAACCTTTCTTTGTATTGAGAAGTTTGGAAACAATCTTTTTGTAGAATCTGCAAAAAATATTTGTGAGCCCTTTATGGCCCATGGTGAAACAGGAATTATCCTCACAGAAAGACTAGACAGAAACTTTCTGAGAAACTTCTTTGTGATGTGTGCTTTCAACTCACAGAGTTGAACCTCTCTTTTGATTGAGCAGTTTGGAAACAGTCTTTTTGTGGAATCTGCAAATGGATGTTTGGAGCGTTGAGGCCTATGGTGAAAAAGGAAATACCTTCACATAGAAACTAGGCAGAAGCATTCTGAGAAACATCTCTGTGATGTGTGCATTCATCTCATAGAGGTGAACTTTTCTTTGACTGAGCAGTTTGGAAACAGACCTTTTGTAGGATCTGCAAAGGGATATTTCTGAGCCCATTGAAGCCTAGGGTGAAAAAGTAATATCTTCACATAAAAACTAGACAGAAGCATTCTGGTAAACTTTTTTGTGATGTGTCCATTCATCTCACAGAGTTGAAACTTTCTTTGGATTGAGCAGTTTGGAAACAGTCTTTTTGTAGAATCTGCAAAAAATATTTGTGAGCCCTATATGGCCCATGGTGAAATAGGAAATATCTTCACAAAAAAAAACTAGACAGAAGCTTTCTGAGACACTTCTTTGTGATGTGTGCTTTCATGTCACAGTGTTGAACCTTTCTTTTGATTGAGCAGTTTGGAAACACTCTTCTTGTAGAATCTGCAAATGGGTATTTGGACTGCTTTGAGGCCTATGGTGAAAAAGAAAACATATTCACATAAAAAATACTGGACAGATGCATTCTGAGAAACTTCTGTGTGATGTGTGCATTCATCTCACAGCGTTGAATCTGTCTTTGGATTCAGCAGTTTTCTAAAAATTCCTTTTGTAGCATCTGCAAAGGGATATTTCTTAGCCCATTGAGGCCTATGGTGAAAAAGGAAATATCTTCAAATAAAAACAAAACAGAAGCCTTCTGAGAAACTTCTTTGTGATGTGTGCATTCATCTCAGAGTGTTGGACCTTTCTTTTGATTGAGCAGTTTGGAAACAGTCTTTTTGTAAAATCTGCAAAGGGATATTTCTGAGCCGTTTGAGGCCTATGGTGAAAAAGAAATATCTTCACATAAAAACTAGACAGAAGCATTCTGAGAAACTTCCTTTTGATGTGTGCATTCATCTCACAGAGTTGAACATTTCTTTTGTTTGAGCAGTTTGGAAACAGTCTTTTTTTAGAATATGCAAACGGATATTGTTGAGCCCTTTACAGCCTATGATGAAATAGGAAATACCTTTACATAAAAACTAAAAAGAATCATTCTGAGAAACTTCTGTGTGATGTGTGCATTAATCTCACAGAGTTGAGCCATTGTTTTCATGGAGCAGTTTGGAAACAGTCTTCTTGTGGTATCTGCAGAGGGATATTTGTGAGCACTTTAAGGCCTATGGTGAAAAAGGAAATATCTTCACATAAAAACTAGACAGAAGCATTCTGAGAAACTTCTTTTTTATGTGTGCATTCATCTCACAGAGATGAATCTTCCTTTTCATTGAGCAGTTTGGAAACAGTCCTTTTGTACAATCTGCAAAGGAATATTTCTGAGCGGTTTGGGGCCTATGGTGAAAAAGTAATATCTTCACATAAAAACTATACAGAAGCAATCTGAGAAACTTCTGTTTTGTGGGTGCTTTCACATCACAGAGTTGTAACTTTCTTTTCATTGAGCAGTTCGGAAACAGTCTTTTTGTAGAATCTGCAAAGGGATATTTGTGGGTTCATTGAGGCCTGTGGGGAAATAGGAAATAGCCTCACAGAAAAAATAGATAGAAGCTTTCTGAGAAACTTTTTTGTGATGTGTGCTTTCATCGCACAGAGTTGAACTTTCCTTTGATTGAGCAGGTTATAAGCAGTCTTTTTGTAGAATCTGCAAATGGATATTTGCAGCATTTTAGGCCTATGATGAACAGGAAATATCTTCATATAAAAACTAGATAGAAGCATTCTGAGAAGCTGATTTGTGATGTGTGCATTCATGTCACAGAGTTGAAACTTTCCTTTGATTGAGCTGTTTGGAAAGAGTCCTTTTGTAGAATCTGCAAAGGGATATTTGTGAGCCCATTGAGGCCTATGGTGAAATAGGAAATATCTTCACATAAAAACTTGACAGAAGCTTTCTGAAAAACTTCTTCATGCTGTGTGCTTTCAGCTCACAGAGTTCAACCTCTCTTTTGATTGAGCACTTTGGAAACACTCTTTTTGTAGAGCCTACAAATGGATACTTGGAGTGCTTTGAGGCCTATGGTGAAAAAGGAAATATCTGCAAATAAACACTAGACAGAAACTGTCTGAGAAACTACTTTGTGATGCGTGCTTTCATCTCACAGATTTGGACCTTCGTTTTCATTGAGCAGTTTGGCAACAAGTCATTTTGTAGAATCTGCAAAGGGATATTTGTGAGCGGCTTGAGGCCTATGGTGAAAAGGTAAATATCTTCACATAAAACCTAGACAGAAACATTTTGAGAAAACTCATTGTGATGTTTGCATTCATCTCATTGAGTTGAACCTTTCTGTTTATTGAGCAGTGTGGAAACATATTTTTTGTGCAATCTGCAAATGAATATTTGTTTGTGGTTTGAGACCTATGGTGAAAAAGTAATATCTTCACATAAAAACTGGACAGAAGCATTCTGAGAAACTAATTTTTTATGTGTGCATTCATCTCACAGAGTTGAACCTTTCTGTTTATGAAGTAGTTTGGAAACAGTTTTTTGTAGAATCTGAAAAGGGATATTTGTGATCCCTTTGAGGCCTAAGGTGAAATGGGAAATATCTTCACATAAAAACTAGACAGAATCTTTCTGAGAAACTTTTTGTGATGTGGGCTTTCATCTCACAGATTTGAACCTTTATTTTTATTGAGCAGTTTGGAAAGAGTCTTTTTGTAGTATCTGCAGAGGGCTATTAGTGAGTGGACCAAGGCCTATAGTGAAAAAGGAAATGGCTTCTCAAAAAAACTAGACAGAAGCATTCTGAGAACGTTCTTTGTGATGTGTGCATTCATCTCACAGAGTTAAGCCTTTCTTTTGATTGAGCTGTTTGGAAACAGTTTTTAGCTCATTGAGGCCTACTTTGAAATGTGAAATATCTTCACATAAAAACTAGATAGAAGGTTTCTAAGAAACTTCTTTGTGATGTGTGCTTTCATCTCACAGAGTGGAACCTTTCTTTTGATTGAGTGGATTGGAAACACTCTTTTTGTAGAATCTGCAAGTGGATATTTGGAGTGCTTTGAGGCCCATGGTGAAAAAGGAAATATCTTCACATAAAAAGTAAACAGAAGTTTTTTGAGAAACTTCTTTGTTATGTGTGCATTCATCTCACAGAGTTGAACAGTTCTTTTGATTGAGCAATTTGGAAACAGTCTTTTTGTAGAATCTGCAGGTGGATATTTGGAGCGCTTTGAGGCCTATGGTGAAAAAAGGAAATTTCTTCACATAAAACTAGACAAAAGCGTTCTGAGAAACTTCTTTGTGATGTGTGCTTTCATCTCAGAGTTTAACCTTTCTTTCATTGAGCAGTTTGGAAACGGTCTTTTTGTAGAATCTGAAAAGGAATATTTATGAGTGGCTTGAGGCCTGTGGTGAAAAAGGCAATACCTTCACATAAAAACCAGACAGAAGATTTTTGAGAAACCTCTTTGTGATGTTTGTATTCATCTCCCAGAGTTGAATCTTCCTTTTCATTGAGCTGTTTGGAAACCGTCTTTTTGCACAATCTGTAAAGGGATATTTCTGAGTGATTTGAGGCCTATGGTGAAAAAGAAATATCTTCACATAAAATTAGACAGAAACATTCCAGGAAACTTCTCTGTGATGTGTGCATTCATCCCACAGAGTTGAACCTTTCATTGCATTCAGTAGTTTGGAAACAGTCTTTTCATAGAATCTGCAAAGGGATATTTCTGAGCCCTTTGAGGACTATGGTGAAATAGGAAATATCTTCACATAAAAACTAGACAGAATCTTTTTGAGAAACTTCTTTGTGATGCATGCTTTCATCTCACAGAATTGAACCTTTTTTTTGATTGAGCAGTTTGGAAACAGTCCTTTTGTAGAATCTGCAAAGGGATATTTCTGAGCCCTTTGAGTCCTATAGTGAAATAGGAAATATCTTCACATAATAACTAGACACAAGCATTCTGAGAAACTTCTTTGTGATGCGTGCTTTCATATCACAGATTTGAACCTTTCTTTTCATTGAGCAGTTTGGGAACAAGTCATTGTATAGAATCTGCAAAGGTATATTTTTGAGCAGTTTGAAGCCTATGGTGAAAAACTAAATATCTTCACATAAAAACCAGGCAGAAGTTTTTGAGATAACTCTTTGTGATGTTTGCATTCATCTCAAAGAGTTGAACCTTTCTGTTCATTGAGGAGTTTGGAAACATTCTTTTTGTGCAATCTGCAAAGGAATATTTCTGAGTGGTTTCAGGCCTGTGGTGAAAAAGAAATATCCTCACATAAAAACTAGACAGAAGCATTCTGAGAAACTTCTTTTTTATATGTGCATTCACCTCACAGAGTTGAACATTTTTTTTCATTAAGCAGTTTGGAAACAGTGTTTTTGTAGAATCTGCAAAGGGATATTTGTGATCCCTTTGAGGCTTATGGTGAAATAGGAAATATCTTCACAGAAATACTAGACAGAAGCTTTCTGAGAAACTACTTTGTGATATATGCTTTCATCCTACAGAGTTGAACCTTTCTTTTGATTGATCACTTTGGAAACAGTCTTTTTGAAGAATCTACAAAAGGATATTTGGAGAGCTTTGAGGCCTATGGTCAAAAAGGAAATATACTCACATTAAAAACTAGACAAAAACATTTTGAGAAACTTCTTTGTGATGTGCACTTTCATTTCACAGTGTTGAACCTTTGCTTTGATTGAGCAGTTTGGAAACAGTCTTTTTGTACAATCTGCAAAGGGATATTTCTGGGCCATTTGAGGCCTATGGTGAAAATGAAACATCTGCACATAAAAACTAGACAGAAGCATTCATGAGAAACTTCTTTGTGATGTGTCCATTCATGTCACAGAGTTGAACATTTCTTTTGATTGAGCAGTTTGGAAACAGTCGTTTTGTAGAATCTGCAAAGGGATATTTGTGAGCCCTTTAGGGCCTGTGGTGAAATACAAAATATCTTCACATAAAAACTAGACAGAAGCATTCTGAGAAACTTCTTTGTGATGTGTGCTTTCATCTCACAGTGTTGAACGTTTCTTTTGATTAAGCAGTTTGGAAAATCTTTTTGTAGAATCTGCAAATGGATATTTGGAGCTATTTGAGGCCCATGGTGAAAAAGGAAGTACCTTCACATAAAAACTAGACAGAAAATTTCTGAGAAACTTCTTTGTGATGTGTGAATTCATGTCACAGAATTCAACCTTTCTTTCCATTGAGCAGTTTGGAAACAGTCTTTTGTAGAAGGTGCAAAGGGAAATTTCTTAGCTGTTTCAGGCCTATGGTGAAAAAGAAATATCTTCACATAAAAACTAGACAGAGGCATTCTGAGAAACTTCTTTTTATGTGTGCATTCACCTCCCAGAGTTGAACGTTTCTTTTCATTGAGAAGTTCAGAAACAGTCTTTTAGTAGAATCTGCCAAAGGATCTATGTGAGCCCCTTGAGGCCCATGGTGAAATAAGAAATATCTTCACAGAAAAACTAGACAGAAGCATTCTGAGAAACTTCTTTGTGATATTTGCATTCATCTCAGAGAGTTGGAACTTTGTTTTGATTGAGCAGTTTGGAAGCAGTCTTTTTGATATATCTGCAAATGGATATTTGGAGCGCTTTGTGACTTGTGGTGAAAAACTGAATATCTTCATATAAAACCTAGTTAGAAACCTTCTGAAGAACTTCTTTGTGATGTGTGCTTTTATCTCACAGAGTTGAACCTTTCTTTTCATTGAGCAGTTTGGAAGCAGTCTTTTTGAAGTATATGCAGAGGGATATTTGGGATTGGTTTAAGGCCCATGGTGAAAGAGTAAATATCTTCAGATAAAAACTAGACAGAAGCATTCTGAGAAAGTTCTTTGTGATGTGTACATTCATCACACAAAGCTGAAAATTTCTTTTTATTGAGCAGTTTTGAAACAGTCTTTTTGTCCAATCTGCAAAGGGATACTTCTTAGACGTTTGAGGCCTATGGTGAAAAAGAAATATCTTCACATAAAAACTAGACAGAAGCTTTCTGAGAAACTTCTGTGTGATGTGTTCATTCATCTCATACAGTTGAAATTTTCTTTTGATGGAGCAGCTTGGAAACAGTCTTTTTGTATATTCTGTAAAGGGATATTTGTGATCCCTTTATGGCTTAAGGTGAAATATGAAATATCTTCACATAAAAATTAGAAGCTTTCTGAGAAACTTATTTGTGATGTGTGCATTCACCTCACAGAGTTGAAATTTTCCTTTGTTAGAGCAGTTTGGAAAGAGGCCTTTTGTAGGATCTCCAAAGGGATATTTTTGAATCCACTGAGGCGTATAATGAAAAAGGAAATATCTTCACATTAAAACTACAAAGAAACCATCTGAGAAACTTCTTTGTGATGTGCACTTTCATTTCACATGTTGAACCTTTTCTTTGATTGAGCAGTTTGGAAAGAGTCTTTTTGGACAATCTGCAAAGGGATATTTCTGAGTCATTTGAGGCCTGTGGTGAAAAAGAAATGTATTCACATAAAAACTAGACAGAAGTATTCTGATAAACTACTTTGTGATGTGTGCATTCATCTCACAGGGCTGAATCTTTGTTTTGATTGAGTAGTTTGGAAAAAGTCCTTTTGTAGAATCTGCAAAGGGATATTTGGAGAGCTTTCAGGCCTATGTTGAAAAAGGAAATATATTCACATAAAAAGTAGACAGAAGCTTTCTGAGAAACTTATTTGTGATGTGTGCATTTGTCTCACATAGTTGAACATTTCTTTTGATTGAGCAGGTTGGAAACAGTCTTTTTGTAGTATCTGCAGAGGGATATTTGTGGGCAGTTTGACACCTATGGTGAAAAAGGAAATATCTTCACATAAAATCTAGACAGAAGCATTCTGAGAAATTTTGTGATGTGTGAATTCATATAACAGAGTTGAAAATTTCTTTGGAGTGAGCAGTTTGGAAAGAGTCCTTTTGTAGAAACTGCAAAGGGATATTTCTGAACCATTGAGGCCTACGGTGAAATATGAAATATCTTCACATAATAACTAGACAGAATCTTTCTAAGAAACTTCTTTGTGATGTGTGCTTTCATCTCAAAGAGTTGAAACTTTCTTTTGATTGAGCAGTTTGGAAGCATTCTTTTTCTGGAATCTGCAAATAGATATTTGTAGAGTTTTGAGGCCTATCGTGAAAAAGGAATTATATTCACATAAGAAGTAGACTGAAGCATTCTCTGAAACTTCTTTGTGACGTGTGCATTCATTTCACAGAGTTGAACATTTATTTTGATTGAGCAGTTTGGAAACAGTCTTTTTGTAGTATCTGCAGGGGGATATTTGTGAGCAGTTTGAGGTCTATGGTGAAAAAGAAATATCTTCACATGAAAACTAGACAGAAGCATTCTGAGAAACTTTTGTGATGTGTGCATTCATCTCACAGAGTTGAACCTTTCTTTAGTTTGAGCAGTTTGGAAACAGTCCTTTTGTAGAATCTGAAAAGGGATATTTCTGAGCCCATTGAGGCCAACGGTGAAATATGAAATATCTTCACATAATAACTAGACAGAAGCTTTCTAAGAAACTTCTTTGTGATGTGTGCTTTCATCTCACAAAGTTGAAAGTGTCTTTTATTTGAGCAGTTTAGAAAGACTCTTTTTGTAGAATCTGTAAATGGATATTTGGAGTGCTTTGAGGCCTATGGTGAAAAAAGAAATATCTTCACATAAAAACTAAACAGAAACTTTCCAAGAAACTTGTTTGTGATGTCTACATTCATCTGACAGAGTTGAATGTTTCTTTTGGTTGAACATTTTGGAAAGAGTATTATTGTACAATATGGAAAGGGATATTTCTGAGCCGTTAGAGTCCTATGGTGAAAGAGAAATACCTTCACATAAAAAGTAGACAGTAGCATTATGAGAAACTGCTTTGAGATGTCACAGAGTTGAACCTTTCTTTTGATTCAACAATTTGGAAAAAGTCTTTTTATAGAATCTGCAAAGTGATATTTGTGAGTCCTTTGTGGCCTCAGGTGAAATAGGAAATATCTTCACATAAAAACTAGACAGAAGCTGTCTGAGTAACTTCTTTGTGATGTGTGCTTTCATCTCACAGAGTTAAAAATTTCTTTTTATTGAGCAGTTTGGAAACAGTCTTTTGTAGAATCTGCAAATCAATGTTTGGATCACTTTGAGGCCTATCGTTAGAAGGGAAGTATCTTCACATAAAAACTAGACAGAAGCTTTCTGAGAAACTTCTTTGTGTTGTGTGCTTTCATCTCACAGAGTTGAACCATCCTTTTGATTGAGCAGTTAGGAAACAGTCTTTTTCTACAATCTGCAAAGGGATATTTCTGAGGGGTTTGAGGCCTACGGTGAAAAAGAAATATCTTCATATGAAAACTAGACAGAAGCATCCTGAGAAACTTCTTTGTGATGTGTGCATTCATCTCATAGGGTTGAACCTTTCTTTTAATTGAGCAGTTTGGAAACAGTCTTTTTGTACAATCTACAAAGGGATATTTCTGAACGGTTTGATGCCTATGTTGAAAAAGAAATATCTACATATAAATACTAGACAGAAGCATTCTGAGAAACTGCTTTTTTATGTGTGCATTCTCTCACAGAGTTGAAACTTTCTTTGCATGGAGCAGTTCAAAAACTGTCTTTTTGTAGAGTCTGCAAAGGGATATTTGTGAGCTCTTTGAGGCCTATGGTGAAATATGAAATATCTTCACATAAAAACTAGACAGAAGCATTATGAGAAACTTCTTTATGATGTGTGCTTTCATCTCACAGAGTTGAACATTATTTTTGATTGAGCAGTTTGGAAACACTCTTTTTGTAGAATCTGCAAATGGATGTGTGGAGTGCTTTGAAGCCTATGTTGAAAAAGGAAATATCTTCACATAAAACTTTCTGAAAAACTTCTTTGTGATGTGTGCATTCATCTCACAGAGTTGAGCCTTTCTTTTGATTGAGCGGTTTGGAAACAGTCTTTTTGTAGAATCTGCAAATGGATATTTGGAGCGCTTTGAGCCTATTGTGAAGAAGGAACTATCTTCACATAAAAACTAGATAGAAATTTTCTGAGAAACTTCTTTGTGATGTTTGCATTCATCTCACAGAGTTGAACCTTTCTTTTCATTTGACAGTTTGGAAACAGTCTTTTTGTACAATCTGTAAAGGGATATTTCTTAGCCATTTGAGGCTTATGGTGAAAAAGACATATCTTCCCATAAAAACTAGACAGAAGCTTTCTGAGAAACTACTTTGTGATGTGTCCATTCATCTCACACAGTTGAACCTTTGTTTTGATTGAGCTGTTTGGAAACAGTCTTTTTGTAGATTCTGCAAAGGGATATTTGTGATACCTTTATGGCCTATGGTGAAATAGGAAATATCTTCACTTAACAACTAGACGAACATTCTGAGAAACTTATTTGTGATGTGTGCTTTCATCTCACAGAGTTGAAACTTTCTTTTGATTGAGCAGTTTGGAAAGAGGCCGTTTGTAGTATCTGAAAAGGGATATTTTTGAGCCCTTTGAGGCCTATGATGAAAGAGGAAATATCTTCACATATAAACTAGATAGAAACTTTCTGAGAAAATTCTTTTTAATGTGTGCTTTCATCTTACAGTGTATAATCTCTTTTCATTGAACAGTTTGGAAACAGTCTTTTTGTAAAATCTGCATAGGGATATTTCTGAGTGGTTTGAGGCCTATGATGAAAAAGAAATATCTTCACATAAAAACTAGACAGAAGCATGCTGAGAAACTTCTTTTTTAGGTGTGCATTCATCTCACAGAGTTGAAACTTAGTTTTCATTGAGCAGTTCTGTAACAGTCCTTTTGTAGAATCTGCAAAGGGATACTTGTGAGCCCTTTGAGGCCCATGGTGTAATAGGAAATACCTCCACAAAAAAACTAGAAAGAAGCATTCTGAGTAACTTCTTTGTGATTTGTGCTTTCATCTCACAGAGTCGAACCTTTCTTTAGATTGAGCAGTTTGGAAACAGTCTTTTTGTAGTATCTGCAGAGGCATATTTGTGAGCAGTTTAAGGCCTATGGTGAAAAAGGAAATATCTTCACGTAAAAACTAGACAGAAGCATTCTGAGAAACTACTTTATGATGTTTGCATTCATCTCACAGAGTTGAATCTTTCTTTTGATTGAGCAGTTTAGAAACACTCCTTTTGTAGAGTCTGCAAATGGATATTTGGAGTGCTTTGAGGCCTATGGTGAAAAAGGAAATATCTTCACATAAAAACTAAACAGAAGCGTTCTGAGAAACGTCTTTGTGATGAGTGTATTCATCTCACAGTGTCGAACCTTTGTTTTGATTGAGCAGTTTGGAAACAGTCTTTTTGTACAATCTGCAACGGGATATTTCTGAACTGTTTGACGCCTATGGTGAAAAACAAATGTCTTCACATAATAACTAGACAGATGCACTCTGAGAAACTTCTTTGTGTGATGTCCATTCCTTGATCAGAGTTGAACCTTTCTTTTCGTTGATCAGTTTGGAAAAAGTCTTATTGTAGAATCTGCAAAGGGATATTTGTCAGCCTTTTGAGGACTAAGGTGAGATAGGAAATGTCTTCACATAAAAACTAGACGGAACATTCTGAGAAACTTCTTTCTGACATGTGTATTACTCTCACAGTGTAGAACCTTTCTTATGAATGCACAATTAAGAAACAGTCTTTTTGTACTATCTGCATAGGAATATTTGTGAGGGGTTTGTGGCCTATGGTGAAAAAGGAAATATCTTCACAGAAAACTATACAGAAGCATTCTGGGAAACTTCCTTATGATGTGTTCTTTCATCTCACAGAGTAGAACTTTTCTTTTGATTTAGCAGATTGGAAACAGTCTTTTTGTAGTATCTGCAGTGGTATATATCTGAGCATTTTGAGGCCTATGGAGTTAAAGAAATATCATCACATAAAAACTAGACAGAAGCATTCTGAAAATTTCGTAATGTGTGCATTCATTACACGGATTTGAACCTTTCTTTTCATTGAGCTGTTTGGAAACAATCCTTTTGTAGAACCTGCAAAAGGATATTTCTGAACCCAATGATGCCTCTGTTGAAATAGGAAATATCTTCACATAAAAACTAGACAGAAGCCTTCTGAGAAACTTCTGTATTGTGTGTGCATTCATCTCACAGAGTTGAACCTTTATTTTGATTGAGCAGTTTGGAAACAGTCTGTTTTGAGTATCTGCAGAGGGATATTTGTAAGCAGTTTAAGGCCTATGTTGAAAAAGGAAATATGTTCACATAAAAACTAGACAGAAGCATTCTGAGAAACTTCTTTGTGATGTGTGCATTCATCTCACAGAGTTGAACCTTTCTTTTGATTGAGCAGTTTGGAAACAGTCTTTTTTGTAGAAAATGCAAATGGAGATTTGGAGCAATTTGATCCTAGGGTGCAATAGGAAGTGTCTTCGAATAAAAACTAGACAGAAGCTTCCTGACAAACTTCTTTCTGATGTGTGCATTCATCTCACAGAGTTGAAAGTTTCTTTAGATTGAGCAGTATGGAAACACTTTTTTTGTAGGATCTACAGAGGGATATTTTTGAGCAGTTTGAGGCCTATGGTGAAAAAGGAACTATCTTCACATAAAGACTAGACAGAAGCATTCTGAGAAAGTTCTTTGTGACGTGTGCATTCATCTCACAGAGACTAACTTTTGTTTTCATTAAGCAGTTTGCAAACAGTGTTTTTGCAGAAGCTGAAATGGGATATTTTTGAGCCCTTTGAGGCCTATGGTGAAATAGGAAATATCTTCACATAAAAACTTGTCAGAAACTTTCTGAGTAACTTCTTTGTGATATGTGTGTTCATCTTACAGAGTTGAAACTTTCTTTTGATTGAGCAGTTTGGAAACAATCTTTTTGTAGAATCTGCAAAAGGATATTTGGTGGGCTTTGAGGCCTATGGTGAAAAAGGAAGTATCTTCACATAAAAACTAGACAGAAGCTTTCTGAGAAACTTCTTTGTGATTTGTGCATTCATCTCACAGAGTTGAAACTTTCTTTTGATTGAGCAGTTTGGAAACAGTCTTTTTGTAGAATATGCAGAGGGATATTTGTGAGCAGTTTGTGGAGAAAAGTTAAAAAGGAAATATCTTCACATAAAAACTAGACAGAAGCATTCTGAGAAATTTATTTTTGATGTGTGCATTCTTCTCACAGAGTTGAACCTTTTTTAGATAGAGCAGGTTGGAAAATGTTTTTTGTAGAATCTTCAAAGTGATAATTTGAATGCGTTGAGACTTACGGTGAAAAAGGAAATATCTTCACATAAAAACTGGACAGAAGCTTTCTGAGAAACTTCTTTGTGAAGTGTGCAACAGTCTTTTTGTAAAATCCGTAAAGGGACATTTGTGAGCACTTTGAGGCCTATATTGAAAAAGGAAACATCTTCAAATAAAAGCTAGATAGAAGCTTTCTGAGAAACTTTTTTTGTGATGTGTGCATTCACCTCACAGATTTGAACCTTTCTTTTGATTCAGTAGTTTGGAAACAGTCTTTTTGTAGAATATGCAAAGGGTTATTTATGAGTAGTTTGAGGCCTATGGTGAAAAAGGGAGTATCAACAAATAAAAACTAGACAGAAACTTTCTGAGAAACTTCTCTGTGATGTGTGCATTCATCTTGCAGAGTGGAAGATTTCTTTGAGCCTTTTGGAAACAGTCTTTTTGTAGAATCTGCAAAGGGATATATGTAGGTGGTTTGAGGTCTATGTTGAAAATGGAAATATCTTCACATAAAAACTAACTGCTCAATGGGAAGAAACTTTTACTTCTGTGTGATGAATGCACATGTCACAAAGGAACTACTCAGAAAATTTCTTTCTACTTTTATGTGAAGATATTTCCTTTTTCACCATATGCCTCAATGTGCTCCCAGATATCCCTTTGCAGATTCTATGAAAAGACTGTTTCCAAACTGCTCAATAAACAGAATAGTTCAACCCTGTGAGACGAATGTGCACATCACAAAGAAGTTTCTCAGAAAACTTCCTTCTCGCTTTTTTGTGAAGATATTTCCTTTTTGAACATAGGCATCAACTCACTCCCAAATATACCTTTGCAGAAACTACAAAAAGACTATTTCCAAACTGCTCAATCAAAAGAAAGTTTCAACTCTGTTAGATGAATGCACACATCAGAAAGTAGTTTCTCAGAAAGCCTCTCACTAGTTTTTATGTGAAGATAGTTCCTTTTTCATCGTGGGTCTCAAAGCACTCAAAAATTTCCCTTTGCAGATTCTAGAATAACAGTGTTTACAAACTGCTCAATGAAAAGTAACATTTACCTTTGCGAGATGAATACACATATCTTAAAGCAGCTTCTCAGAATGCTTCTTTCTAGTTTTTATGTGAAGATATTTCCTTTTTCACCATAGGCCTCAATGCGCTCCTAAATATCCCTTTGCAGATTGTACAAAAAGACGTTTCCAAACTGCTTGATCCAAAGAATGTTTCCACTCTGTGAGATGAATGCACACATCCAAAGAAGTTTCTCAGAAACTTTCTTTATAGTTTTTCTTTGAAGATATTTCCTTTTTCACCATAGGCCTCAAAGCTCTCACAAATATCCCTTTGCAGATTCTACAAAAAGACTGTTTCCAAACTGCTCAATAAAAAGAATTTTTGAACACTGTGAGATGAATGCACACATCTCAAAGAAGTTTCTCAGAAACGTTCAGTCTAGTTTTTATGTGAATATATTTCCTTTTTCACCATAGGCCTCAAAGCACTCAAAATATCCATTTGCAGATTCTACAAAAAGACTGTTTCCAAACTGCTCAATCAAAACAAAGGTTCAACTCTGTGTGATGAATGCACACATCACAAAGAAGTTTCTCAGAATGCTTCTGTCTAGATTTTATGTGAAGACACTTGCTTTTTCACCATAGGCCTCAAAGTGCTCACAAATATCCCTTTACAGATTCTACAAAAATACTTTTTCTAAATTGCTCAATCAAAAGAAAGGTTCAACTCTGTGAGATGCATGCACACCACAAAGAGGTTTCTCAGAAAGCTTCTCTCTATGTTTTATGTGAAGATATTTCCTTTTTCACCATAGGCCTCAAAGCATTCACAAATATCCCTTTGCAGATTCCACAAAAAGACTTGTTACACACTGCTCAATCAAAAGAATGTTTCAACTCTGTGAGATGAATGCTCACATTGCCACAATGTTTCTCAGAAACTTCTGTGTAGTTTTTATGTAAAGATATTTCCTTTTTCACCATATGCCTTAAAGGGCTCACAAATATCCCTTTGCAGATTTTACCAGAAAAGAGTTTCCAATCTTCTCAATGAAAAGAAACAGACACATCTGGGAGATGAATGCACATATCACAAAGCAGTTTCTCAGAAACATTCTGTCTAGTTTTTATGTGAAGGTATTTCCTTTTTCAACACTGGATGCAAAGCGCTCAAAATTGTCCCTTTGCAGATTCTACCAAAATACTGTTTACAAACTGCCCAATCAAGAGAATGTTTCAACTCTGTGAGATGAATTCTCACATCTCCAAGATGTTTCACAGAAAGCTTCTGTCTAGTTTTTACATGAAGATAATTCCTTTTTCACCATAGGCTTCAAAGTGCTGATAAATATCTCTTTGCAAATTTTACAGGAACAGAATTTCCAATCTGTTCAATGAAAAGAAATGGTTACCTCTGTGAGATGAAAGCACACATCACAAAGCAGTTTCTCAGAAATATTCTCTCTAGTTTTTATGTAAAGATAATTCCTTTTCCAACATAGGACACAAAGCGTGAACTAATAACCATTTGGAAATTCTACAAAATACTGTTTCCAAAATGCTCATCAAAAGAAAGTTTCACCTCTGTGGGATGAACGCACATATCAAAAAGATGATTCTTAGAAAGCTTCTATCTTGTTTTTATGTGTAAGTGTTTCCTTTTTCACCATGGGCCTCAAAGTGCTCAAAAATATCCCTTTGCAGATCCTAAAAAAAGACTGTTTCCAAACTGCTGAGTCAAAGGAATGGTTCAACTCTGTGAGATGAATGCACACATCACAAAGAAGTTTCTCACAAACCTTCTTTATAGTTTTTATGTGAAGATATTTCCTTTTAACCATAGACCTCAAAGCACTCACAAAACCCTTTGCAGATTCTACAAAAAGATGGTTTCCCAACTGCTCAATCCAAAGAATTGGTGCACTCTGTGAGATGAATGCATACATCACAAAGCAGTTTCTCAGAAATATTTAGTCTAGTTTTTATGTGAAGATAATTTCTCTTTCACCATAGGCCTCAAAGTGCTCAGAAATATCCCTTTACAGATTCCACAAAAAGACGTTTCCAAACTGATCAATCAAAAGAAAGTTTCAGTTCTGTGAGATCAATGCACACATCACCAAGGAGTTTCTCAGTAGGCTTCTGTCTGGTTTTTATGTGAAGACAATATCTTTTTTACCATAAGGCTCTAGGCACTCACAAATGTCCCTTAGCAGATTCTACAAGAACAGAGTTTCCCAACTGATCAAAGAAAAGAATCTTTTACCTCTGTGAGATGAAGACACACATCACAAAACAGTTTCTCAGAAACCTTTTTTACAGTTTTCTGTGAAGATACTTATTTTCCTGCATAGGCCTCAAAGTGCTCACAAATATCCATTTGCAGATTCTTCAAAAAGACTGTGTCCAAATGGCTGAATTAAAAGAGAGGTTCAAATCTGTGAGATGAATGCACATATCACAAAGAAGTATCTCAGAAACTTTCTTTATACTTTGAATGTGAAGATATTTCATTTGTCACAATAGGCCTCAAAGTGCTCAAAAATACCCCTTTTGAGATTGTACAAGAACAGAGTTTCCAGACTGATCAGAGAAAAATCATTTACCTCTGTGAGATGAATGCACACATCACAAGGTTGTTTTTAGAGAACCTGCTTTATAGTTCTTATGTGAAGATATGTCCTTTTCCACCATAGGCCTCACAGCACTCCAAATATCCAATGGCAGATTCTACCAAAAGAGTGTTTCAAAACTGCTCAACAAAAAGAAAGTTCAACTCTGTGAGATGAATGCATACATCACAAAGAAGTTTCTCAGAATGCTTCAGTCTAGTTTTTATGTGAAGATATTTCCTTTTCCACTAAAAGAGTGTTTCAAAACTGCTTAATCAAAGGAAAGGTTCAACTCTGTGCGATGAAGGCACACATCACAAGGAAATTTCTCAGAATGCTTCTGTCTAGTTTATGTGAAGATATTTCCTTTTCCAACAGAGGCCACAAAGTGCTTGAAATATCCACTTGCAAATTCTAAAAAAAGAGTGTTTCAAAACTGCTCAATCAGAAGAAAGGTTCAACTCTGTGAGTTGAACAGACACAGCACTAAGAATTTTGTCAGAATGCTTCTCTGTAGTTTTTATGTGAAGATATTTCCTTTTCCACCATAAGCCTCAAAACGCTCCAAATATCCACTTGCAGATCCTAAAAAAAGTGTGTTTCAAAACTGCTCAATCAAAAGAAAGGTTCAACTCTATTTGTTGAATACACACATCAAAAACAAATTTGTGAGAATGCTTCTGTGTATTTTTTATGTGAAGATATTTCCTTTTCCACCATAGGCATCAAAGTGCTCCAAATATCCAATTGGAGATTCTACAAAAAGAGTGTTTCAAAGCTGCTCAATTGAAAGAAAGCTTCAACTCTGTGAGATGAATGCACACATCACAAAGAAGTTTCTCAGAATTCTATTGTCTAGTTTTTATGTGAAGATATTGCCTTTTCCACTTAAGACCACAAAGCACTCCAAATATCCACTTGCAGATTCTACAAAAGGAGTGTTTCAAAACTGCTCAATCAAAAGAAGGGTTCCACTCTGTGAGTTGAATACACACATCACAAATAAGTTTCTCAGAATGTTTCTGTCTACTATTTATGTGAAGATATTTCCTTTTCCACCATAAGCCTCAAAGCGCTCCAAAGAACCACTGATAGATTTTACAAAAAGAGGGTTTCAAAACTGCTGAATCAAAAGAAAGGTTCAACTCTGTGAGTTGAATGCACACATCACAAAGAAGTTTCTCAGAATGCTTCTGTCTAATTTTTATGTGAAAATATTTTGTTTTCCACCATAGGCCTCGATGTGCTCCAAATATCCACTTGCAGATTCTACAAAAAGAGTGTTTCCAAACTGCTCAACAAAAAAAATGGTTGAACTCTGTGAGATGAAACCACATATCACAAAGAAGTTTCTCAGAAATCCTCTGTCTAGTTTTTATGTGAGAATATTTCCTATTTCATCTGTAGGCATCAATGGGCTGAGAAATATCCCTTCACAGATTCTACAAAGGACTGTTTCCAAACTGCTCAATCCAAAGAAACGTTCTACTCTTTGTGGTGAATGCACACATCACAAAGAAGTTTCTCAGAATGCTTCTGTCTAGTTTTTATGTGAAGATATTTCTTTTTCCACTATAGTCCTCAAAGCGCTCCAAATATCCACTTGCAGATTCTACAAAAAGAGTGTTTCCAAACTACTCAATCAAAAGAAATGTTCAACTCTTTGAGTTGAATGCACACATCACAAAGAAGTTTCTCAGAATGCTTGTGTCTAGTTTTATATGAAGATATTTCCTTTTGCACCATAGGTCTCAAAGCTCTCCAGATATCCATTTGCAGATCCTCTGAAAAGACTGTTTCCAATCTGCTCAATCTAAAGAAACGTTCAACTCTGTGAGATGAAAGCACATAACACATCAAAGTTTCTCAGAATACTTCTGTCTAGTTTTTATGTGAAGATTTTTCCTATTTCCTCTTTAGGCCTCAAAGGGGTCAGAAATGTCCCTCTGCAGATTCTACAAAAACACTGTTCCTGAAATGCTCAATGAAAAGAAAGGTTCCCATCTGTGAGAAGAATGCACACATAAAAAGAAGTTTCTCAGAATGCTTCTGTCTAGCTTTTATGTGAAAATATTTCTTTTTCACTGTAAGCCTAAAACCTATCAGAAATATCCCTTTGCAGATTCTACAAAAAGACGGTCTCCAAACTGCTCAATTAAAAGAAAATTTCAAATCTGTGATATGAATGCAAACAACATAAAGTGTTTACTCAAAAATATTCCTTCTAGTTTTCATGTGAAGATATTTCATTTTCACCAAAGGCCTGAAGTTTTCTTAATATCCATTTGCAGATTCTACAAAAAGACTGTTTCCAAACTGCTTCATCATAAAAAAGTTCAACTCTGTGAGATGAATGCACACATATAAAAGAAGTTTCTAAGAAAGCTTCTGTGTAGTTTTTATGTGAAGATATTTCCTACTTCATCATAGACCACAAAGGGCTCACAAATATCCCATTGCAGATTTTAAAAATACTGTTTCTGAATCGCTCAATCAAAAGAAAGGTTCATCCCTGTGAGACGAATGGACACATAACAAGGAAATTTCTCAGAATGCTTCTGTCTAGCTTTCATGTGAAGATATTTCCTTTTCCACCTTAGGCCTCAAATCGCTGACAAATATCCCTCTGCAGATAATTGAAAAAGACTGTTTCCAAACTGCTCAATCAACAGAATGGTTCAACTCTCTCAGAGGAAAGCACACGTCACAAAGAAGTTTCTCAGAATGCTTCTGTCTAGTTTTTATGTGACGATATTTCCTTTTTTACCATAGGCATTAAACCATTCACACATATACCTCCTCAGATACTGCAAACAGACTGTTTCCAATCTGCTCCTTCAAAAGAAAGGTTCAGCTCTGTGAGGTGAATGCACACAGGACAAATAAGTTTCTCAGAATGCTTCTGTCTAGTTTTTATGTGAAGATATTTCCTTTTTCACCATAGGCCTCAAAGCACTCCAAATATCCATTTGCAGATTCTACAAAAAGAGTGTTTCCAAACTGCTCAATCAAAGGAAAGTTACAACTCTGTGAGGTGAAAGAACACATCATAAAGAAGTTTCTCAGAAAGCTTCTGTCTAATTTTTATGTGAAGGTATTTTCTGTTTCACCATAGTCCAGAAAGGGCTCACAAATAGCCTTTTGAAGATTCTACATAAAGACTGTTTCCAAACTGCTGAACTAAAAGAAAGGTTCAACTCTGTGAGATGAAAGCACATATCTCAAAGAAGTTTCTCAGAAAGCTTCTGTCTGGTTTTTATGGGAAGATATTTCCTATTTCACCATAGGCCTCAATGGGCTGAGAAATATCCCTTTGCAGATTCTACAAAAGGACTGTTTCCAAACTGCTCAATCCAAAGAAAGTTTCACCTCTTTGAGATGAATGCATACATCACAAAGAAGTTTCTCAGAATGCTTCTGCCTAGGTTTTTGTGAAGATATTTCCTTTTTCACCGTAGGCCTTAAACTGCTCTCAGATATCTCTCTGCAGATACTACAAAAAGACTGTCTCCAAACTGCTCCATCAAAAGTAAGGTTCAACTCTGTGAAATGAAAGGATACATCTCAAAGAAGTTTCTCAGAATACTTCTGTCTAGTTTTTATGTGAAGATATTTCTTTTTCGATATAGGCCTCCAACTTCGCAGAAATATCCCTTTCCAGATTGTACAAAAAGACTGTTTCCAAACTGCTCAATGAAATGAAACTTTCAACACTGTGAGATGTATGCACACATCAAAAAGAAGTTTCTCAGAAAGCTTCTGTTTAGATTTCGTGTGAAGATATGTCATTTTTCACCATAGGCTCCAAAGTGCTCAAAATATCCTTTGCAGATTGTACAAAAAGACTGTTTCCAAACTTCTCAATCAAAAGAAAGGTTCAAATCTGTGAGATGAAAGCTCACATCACTAAGAAGTTTATCAGAAATCTTCTGTCTAGCTTTTATGTGAAGATATGTCCTTTTTCACCATAGACATCAATGGGAACAGAAATATCCCTTTGCAGATCCTACAAAAAGACTGTTTCCAAACTGCTCAACCAAAAGAATGGTTCAACTCTGTGAGATGAAAGCACATATCACAAAGAAGTTTCTCAGAAATCCTCTGTCTAGTTTTTATGTGAAGATATTTCCTATTTCATCCATAGGCCTCAATGGGCTCAGAAATATCCCTTTGCAGATTCTACAAAAGGACTGTTTCCAAACTGCTCAATCTAAAGAAAGGTTCAACTCTTTGAGATGAATGCATACAACACAAAGAAGTTTCTCAGAATGCTTCTAGCTGGTTTTTATGTGAAGATATTTCCTTTTTCACCATAGGCCTTAAACCACTCTCACATATCTCTCTGTAGATACTACAAAAGGATTGTTTCCAGACTGCTCCATCAAAAGAAAAGTTCAACTCTGTGAGATGACTGGATAAATCACAAAAAAGTTTCTCAGAATACTTCTGTCTACATTTTATCTGAAGATATTTCTTTTTCACCATAGGCCTCCAACTTCACAGAAATATCCCTTTGCAGATTTCATAAAAAGACTGTTTCCAAATTGCTCAATGAAAAGAAAGTTTCATCTCTGTGAGATGTATGCACTCATCAAAAAGAAGTTTCTCAGAAAGCTTCTGTTTAGATTTCATGTGAAGTTATGTCCTTTTTCACCATAGGCCTCAAAGCGCTCAAAATATCCTTTGCAGATTCTACAAAAAGACTGTTTCCAAACTGCTCAATCAAAAGAAAGGCTCAAATCTGTGAGACGAAAGCACACATCACTAAGAAGCTTCTCAGAAGGCTTCTGTCTAGTTTTTAAGTGAAGATATTTCTTCTTTCACCATAGGTCTCAATGGGCTCAGAAATATCCCTTTGCAGATCCTACAAAAAGACTGTTTCCAAACTACTCAATCAAAACAAAGTTTGAACTCTGTCAGATGAA
>NC_000014.9:16089562-16096530 GCF_000001405.40 Homo sapiens
TAGGCCTTAAAACACTCACAAATATCACTCCACATATACTACAAAAAGACTCTTTCCAAACTGCTCAATCAAAAGAAAAGTTCAGCTCTGTGAGGTGAAAGCACACATAAAAAAGAAGTTCCTAAGAAAGCTTCTGTCTAGTTTTTATGTGAAGATATTACTTCTTAAGCAGAGGCCTCAAACGGCTAAGAAATATCCCTTTGCAGATTGTAGAAAAAGACTGTTTCCAAACTGCTCAATCAAAAGAAAGGTTGAACTCTGTGAGATGAGTGCATACATCACAAAGAAGTTTCATAGAAAGCTTCTGTTTAATTTTTATGTGAAGATATTTCCATTTTCACCATACATCTCAAAGTGTTCAAATAACCATTTGCAGATTCTACAAAAACAGTGTTTCAATACTTCTCAATCAAAAGAAACGTTCAACTCTGTGAGATGAAAGCACATATCGCAAAGAATTTTCTCAGAAAGTTTCTCTTTAGTTTTTATGTGAAGACATTTCCTATTTCCCCAGAGACCTCAAAGGGCTCACAAATATCCCTTTGTAGATTTTACAAAATGACTGTTTCCAAACTGCTTAATCAAAAGAAACGTTCAACCCTGTGAGGTCAATGCACATATCAGGTAGAAGTTTCTCAGAATGCTTCTGTCTAGTTTTTGTGTGAAGATATTTCGTTTTCCACTATAGGAATCAAAGTGCTCCAAATATCCACTTGCAGATTCTAAAAAAAGGCTGTTTCAAAACTGCTCAATCAAAAGAAAGGTTGAAGCCTGTGAGATGAATGCACACATTACAAAGAAGTTTCCCAGAATGCTTCTGTCTGATTTTTATGTGAAGATATTTCCTTTTTCACCAAAGGCCTCAATACGCTATAAATATCCATTTGCTGATACTGCAAATGAGTGTTTACAAACTACCCAATCAAAAGAAAGTTCACCTCTGTGTGACGCATGCACATATCACAAGAAAGTTTCTCAGAAAGTTTTGGTCTAGTTTCTATGTGAAGATATTACCTATTTCCCCAGAGGCCTCAAAGGGCTCACAAATATTACATTTCAGATTCGACAAAATGACTGTATCAAAGCTGCTCAATTAAAAGAAAGGTTTAACAGTGTGAGATGAAAGCACACATCACCAGGAAGTTTCTCAGAATTCTTCTTTCTAGATTTTCTGTGAAGATATTTCCTTTTCCACTATAGGACTCAAAGCACTCCAAATATCCATTTGCAGATAGTATAAAGAGAGTGTTTCAAAACTGCTCAATCAAAAGAAACGTTCAACTCTGTGAGATGAATGCACACATCACAAATAAGTTTCTCAGAAAGCTTCGGTCTAGTTTTAACGTGAAGATATTTCTTTTTCCAACATAGGCCTCAAAGCGCTCAAATTACCATTTGCAGATACTACAAAAAGACTGTTTCCAAACTACTCCATAAAAAGAAAGGTTTAACTCTGTGAGATAAATGCACACATCACAAAGAGGATTCTCAAAATGCTTCTGACTAGTTTTTATGGGAAGATATTTCCTTTTTCACCATATGTCTCAAAGGGCTGCTAATATCCATTTGCAGATACCACAAAAAGACTGGTGCCAAACTGCTCAATCAAAAGAAAGGTTCAACTCTGTGAGATGAAAGCACACATCACAAAGAAATTTCTCAGAAAGTGTCTGTCTAGTTTTTATATGCAGATACTTCCTTTTCCACTGTAGGCCTCAAAGCGCTCCAAGTATCCCCTTGCAGATTCTGCAAAAAGTGTGTTTCAAAACTGTTCAATCAAAAGAAAAGTACAACACCATGAGATTAATGCACACATAACAAAGTAGTTTCTAGGAATGCTTCTGTCTGGTTTTTATGTGAAGATACTTCCTTTTCCACCATAGACCTCAAAGTGCTCCAAGTATCCCCTTGCAGATTCTGCAAAAAGTGTGTTTCAAAACTACTCAATCAAAAGAAAGGTACAACACCATGAGATTAATGCACACATAACAAAGTAGTTTCTAGGAATGATTTTGTCTGGTTTTTATGTGAACATACTTCCTTTTCCACCATAGGCCTCAAAGCGCTCCAAGTATCCCCTTGCAGATACTGCAAAAAGTGTGTTTCAAAACTGCTCAATCAAAAGAAAGGTACAACACCATGAGATTAATGCATACATAACAAAATAGTTTCTAGGAATGCTACTGTCTGGTTTTTATGTGAAGATATTTCCTTTTTCACCATAGGACTGAAATGTTTTTGGTGTACTTTTTGATATTTTATGTACAGTATATAATATGTGTTTGGTGTACTTTTTGATATTTTATGTACAGTATATAATATGTATTTGGTGTACTATTCTATATTTTATGTACACTATCAATATGTATTTGGTGTCCTTTTTGATATGTTATGTACAGTATATAATATGTATTAGGTGTACTTCTTGATATTTTATGTGCAGTATATAATAGGCATTGGTGTACTTTTGATATATTATGTACAGTATATAATATGTATTTGGTGTAATATTGATATTTTATGTAAAATATATAATATGTATTTGGTGGACTTTTTGATATTTTATATACAGTATATAATATGTATTTGGTGTACTTTGGTATATTATTTAAAGTATATAATATGTATTTGGTGTACTTTGATATTATATGTACAGTATATAATATGTACTTGTACTTTCATATTTTATGTACAGTATATAATATGTATTCGGTGTAGTTTGATATTTTATCCTCTTTTTATAATATATATTTGGTGTACTTTGATATTTTATGTACACTATACAGTATGTATTTGGCATACTTCGATATTTTTTGTACAGCATATAATATGTATTTTGTGGACTTTGATATTTTGTGTACAGCATATAATATGCATTTTGTGTACGTTGATATTTAATGTGCAATATATAATATGTATTTTGTGTACTTTGATATTGTATCTACAGTATCTAAAATGTATTTGGTGTACTTTGATATTTTATGTACAGTATATACTATGTATTTGGTGTACTTTGATATTTTATGTACAGTATATAATATGTATTTGGTTTATTTTGATATTTTATGTACAGTATATATGTATTTGGTGAACTTTGATATTTTATGTACACTATATAATATGAATTTCTTGTATTTGACATTTTATGTACAGTATATAATAAGTATTTGTTGTATTTTTTGATATTTTATGTACAGTATATAATATGTATTTGCTGTACTTTTTGATATTTTATGTAGAGTACATAATATGTATTTGTTGTAGTTTTTCATATTTTATGGACAATATATAATTTGTATTTGGTGTACTATTTCGTATTTTATGTACAGTATATAATATGTATTTGGTGTAGTAATTGACATTTTATGTACGGTATAATATATGTATTAGGTATAGTTTTTGATATTTTTTGTACAGTATACAATATGTATTTGGTATAGTATTTGATATTTTATGTATGGTATACAATATGTATTTGGTGTACTTTTTGATATTTTATGTACAGTATATAATATGTATTCGGTGTACTTTGATATTTTGTGTACAGTATATAATATATATTTTTTGTACTTTGATATTTTATGTACAGTATATAATATATATGGTTTACATTTTGTTATTTTACATACAGTATATCATATGTATTGGTGTACTTTTTGATATTTTATGTACAGTATTTAATATGTATTTCATGTACTTATTGGTATTTTACATACAGTATATAATATGTATTTAGCGTGCTTTGATATTTTATGTACACTTTATAATATGTACTTGGTGTACTTTGATATTTTATGTACAGTATACAATATGTATTTGGTGTACTTTCATATTTTATGTACAGTATATAATAAGTATTTGGTGTACTTTGATATTTTATTTACAGTATATAATATGAATTTGGCATACTTTGATATTTTACTTACAGTATGTAATATGTATTTTCTGTAGTTTGATATTTTTTGTACATTTTATATGTATTTTGTGTACACTGATTTTTTATGTACATTATATAATATATATTTTGTGTACTTTGATATTATATGTACAGTATCTAAAATGTATTTGGTGTACTTTGTTATTTTATGTACAGTATACAATAACTATTTGTTGTAATTTGTGATATTTTATGTACAGTATATAATATGTATTTGGTGTACTTTCATAATTCATTTACAATATATAATATATATTTGGTGTACTTTTTCATATTTTATTTACTGTATATAATATCTATTTGGTATACTATTTTATGTTTTATGTACAGAATATAATATGTATTTGGTGTACTTTTTGATATTTTATGTACAGTATAATATATTTGTTTGGTGTAATTTCATATTTTATATACAGTGTATAATATGTATTTTGTGTACTACTTGGTATTTTATGTACAGTATAGAATAAGTATTTGGTATACTTTTTGATACTATATGTACACTATGTAATATGTATTTTGTGTACTTTTTTATATTTTTTTGCAGTATATAATATATATTTGGTGTACTTTTTGATATTTTATGTACAGTATATAATAAGTATGTGTTGTAATTTGTGATATTTTATGTACATTATATTATATGTATTTGGTGTACTTTTGATATTTTATGTACTGTATAAAATATATGTTTGGTGTACTTTTTGATATTTTATGCCGAGTATATACTATATATTTGATGTATTTTTTGATATTTTATGTACAGTATATAATATATATTTGGTGTACCTTTGGATATTTTATATACAGTATATAATATGTATTTCGTGTACATTATGATATGTTATGTACAGTATATAATATGTATTTGGTGAAATTTTGGATATTTTATGTACAGTATATAATGTGTATTTGGTGTACTTTTGGTTATTTTATGTACAGTATGTAATATGTATTTGGAGTACTTTAGGATATTTTATGTACAGTATATCATATGTATTTGCTGTAGTTTTTGATATTTTATGTACAGTATATAATATTTATTTGGTGTACTTTTTGATATTTTATGTACAGTTTACAATATGTATTTGGTGTACAATTTGATATTTTATGTACAGTATATAATATATATTTGGTTTACATTTTCATATTTTTTGTACAGTATAAAATATGTATTTGGTGTACTATTTGATAATTTATGTACAGTATATAATATGTATTTGGTGTACTTTTTGATATTTTATGAACAGCAGATAATATGTATTTTGTATAATTTTTGATATTTTATGTACAGAATATAATAGGTATTCGGTGTACTTTTTGACATTTTATGTACAGTATATAATATGTATTTAGTGTACTTTGATAATTTATGTTGAGTATATAATATGTTTTTGGTGTATTTTTTGATATTTTATGTACATTATATAATATGTATTTGGTGTACTTTGATATTTTATGTACAGTATATAATATGAATTTTGTGTACTTTGATGTTTTATGTACAGTATATAATATGTATTTTGCATACTTTATTTTACCTGCAGTATATAATATGTATTCTGCGTACTTTGTTATTATGTGTACAGTATATAGTATGTATTTTGTGTACATTGATATTTTATGTAAAGTATATAATATGTATTTTATGTACTTTGATATTATATGTACAGTATGTAAAATGAATTTGATGTACTTTGATTTTTTATATACAGTATATAATAAGTATTGTGTGAAATTTGATATTTTATGTACAATATACAATATCTATTTGGTGTATATTTTATATTTTCTCTAAAGTATATAATATGTATTTGGTGTACTATTTGATATTTTATGTAGAGTATATAATATGTATTTGGTGTATTTTTGATATTTTATGTACTGTATATAATATGTTTTTGGTGTACTTTTTGATGTTTTATGTACAGTATATAATATGTATTTGGTGTACTTTTTGATATTTTATGTACAGTATATAATATGTATTTGGCGGGCTTTGATATTTTACCTGCAGTATATAATATGTATTCTGTGTACTTTGATATTTTGTGTACAGTATATAATATGATTTTTGTGTACTTTGATATTTTATGCACAGTAGATAATATTTATTTTGTGTATTTTGATATTTTATGCACAGTATTAAATATGTATTTGGTATGTTTTGATATTTTATGTGTAGTATATAATATGTATTTGGTGTGCTTTGATATTTTTTGTACAGTATATAACACGTATTTGGTGTACTTTGATATTTTAAATACAGTATATAATAGGCATTTTGTGTAGTTTGATATTTTGTGTATAGTATATAATATGTATTTTGTGTTCTTTGATATTTTATGTACTGTATATAATATGTCTCTTGTGTAATTTGTTATTTTATGTGCAGTATGTAAAATGTTTTAGGTGTACATTGATATTTTATGTACAGTATATAATAGGTAATTTCTGTGTTTTGATATTTTATATACAGTATACAATATATATTTGGTGTACTTTTTGATATTTTATGTACATTAAATAGCATGTATCTGGTATACATTTTGTTATTTTATGTACAGTATAAGAAATGTATTTGGTGCACATTTTGATATTTTATGTACAGTATATAATATGTATTTGGTAGTAATTGTTGATATTTTATATACAGTATATAATATGTAATTGGTGTACATATTGATATTTTATTTACAGTATATAATATGTATTTGGTGTACTTTGATGTTTTATGTCCAGTATATAATATGTATCTGATGTACTTTCATATTTTATGTACAGTATATAATGTGTATTTGGTGTACTTTGATATTTTATGTACAGTATATAATATGTATTTGGTGTAATTTGTTATTTTATATACAGTATATAATATGAATTTTGTGTACTTTGATATTTTGTGTACAGTATATTATATGTATTATGTGTACTTTGATATTTTGTGTACAGTATATAATACGTAAATGGTGTACTTTGATATTTTATATACAGTATATAATATATATTTGGTGTACTTTTTGATATTTTA
>NC_000014.9:16096630-16105376 GCF_000001405.40 Homo sapiens
ATTTGATTCCATTCCATTTGATTACTTTCCTTTTGATTCCATTCCATTCGATTCATTCCATTTGAGTCCATTCCATTTCACGCCATTCTATTTCAGTCCTTTCCATTCGAGTCCATTCCATTCCATTCCCTTCCATTCCACTCCATTCCATTCCATTCCACTCCATTCCATTCCATTCCACTCTCTTCCACTCCACTAGAGTCCGCTCTATTCCACTCCATTCCACTCCAAACCACTCCTTACCCCTCCGTTCCACTCCAATCCACTCCACTGCCATAATATCCATTCCACTCAATTCCACTTCACTCCTTTCCACTCCACTCCACTCCATTCCACACCACTCCACTCTACTCTACTCCACTACATTCCAATCCACTCCACTGCGTTCCACTCCATTCCATTCCATTGCATTCCATTCACTCCACTCCACCCTACTCCATTCCATTACATCCCATTGCATTCCATTGCACTCCACTCCACTCCCCTCTGTTCAACTACATAACTTCCCATTCCATTCCATTTGATTGCATTCCACTGCACTCCACTCCAATCCACTCCTTTCCATTCCACTCCATTCCATTCCATTGCATTCTATTCCACTCCAATCCATTCCACTCCACTCCATTGCATTCCACTCCACTCCACTCCACGTCATTCCATTACATTCCATTGCATTCCACTCCACTCCACTCCCCTCCTTTCAATTCCATTCCTTCCCATTCAATTCATTTCCACTCCATTCCAAGACAGTTCACTCCACTCCATTCATTTCCATTCCACCCATTCCCTTCCAATCCGTTCCCCTCCACTCCACTCCACATCTCCACATTCTGTTCCATTCGAATACATTCCCTTCAATTAAATTCCATTCAATTCCATTCCATTTGATTCCATTCCATTCGATTCCAATCCATTCGAGTACAATCCATTTGAGTCCTTTCCATTGGATTACATTGGTTTCCAGTTAATTCTATTTCAGTTCATTCTATTTGAGTCCATTCTATTCCACTGCATTCCATTCCATTCCATTCCATTCTATTCCGTTCCATTCCGTTCCATTCCATTGCATTCCATTCTACTCCACTCCACTCCAATCCACTCCATTCCATTCCACTCTACTCCACTGTACTCCATTCCATTCTATTCCACTGGATTCCACTCCAATACACTCCATTCCACTCCACTCAATTTGATTCCACTCCACTCAACTGCACTCCATTTCATTCCTCTACATTCCATTCCATCGCATTCCACCCCACTCCAATCCACTCCACTCCAGTTAATTCTATTCCATTCCCTGGCATTCCACTCCACTTCACTCCACTCCGTTCAATTCCATTCATTCCCATTCCATTCCATTCCCTCCATTCCACTCCACTCCACTGCATTCAATTCCATTCCACCCCATTCAATTTAACTCCAATCCACTCCACTCCACTTCACCACATTCAACTGGATTCCATTCGAGGTCATTCAATTACAATCCATTCGATTGCATTCCGTTCGATTCCATTCCATTCAATTCCATTTCATTCGATTCCAATCCATTCGATTCCATGCCATTCAATTTATTCCATTCGAGTACATTCCATTGCAGTCGATTCCTTTCCAGTTCATTCCATTCCAGTCCATTCCATTCCAGTCCATTCCATTCAATTTCATTCCATTCGATTCCCTTCCACTGGAATCCATTCCGTTCTATTCCATTCCATTCAATTCCATTCCATTCCAGTCCATTCCATTCGAGTCCATTCCTTTCCATTCCATTCCTTTCCATTCCGTTTCATTCCATTCCATTCCATTCCATTTCATTCCATTCCATTCCATTCCATTCCATTCCATTTCATTCCATTCCATTCCTTGCCCTTCCATTCCATTCCTTTACATTCCATATGATTCCATTCCTTTCGATTCCATTCCATTTGATTCCATTCCAGTTGAGTTCATTCCATTCCATTCCATTCAATTCCATTCTACTCGAGTCCATTCCATTCCAGTCCATTCGACTGCATTCCACTCCATTCCAAGTGATTCCTTTCAATTCCATTCAATTCCATTCCTTTGAATTCCTTTCCACTCCACTCCACTCCACTTTATTCCATTCCATTGCATTCCATTCCACTCCACTCCACCCTACTCTATTCCATTCCATTCCATTCCATTGCATTCCCCTGCACTCTACTCCACTCCCCTTTATTCAATTCCATTCCTTCCCATTCTATTCCATCTCATTCCATTCCACCCCACTCTACTCCATTCCACTCCATTCCATTCGATTCCATTCCATTCCACTCCACTCCACTCCATTCCACTCCATTCCATTCCATTCCTATCCACTCCCCTCCACTCCACTCCATTGCATTCGACTCCACACCACTCCACTCCACTCCATTCCATTACATTCCATTGCATTCCTCTCTACTCCACTCCACTCACCTCTGTTCAATTCCATTCCATTGCATTCCACTCCACTCCACTGCACTCACCTCTGTTCAGTTCCATTCCATCCCATTCCATTCCAATCCATTCCAAGACTCTTCTCTTTACTGCATTCAATTCCATTCCACCCCATTCCCTTCCAATCCATTCCCCTCCACTCCACATCAACACATTCTGTTCCATTCGATTATATTCCCTTCAATTAAATTCCATGTGATTCCTTTCCATTCGAATCCATTCCATTCGAGTACAATCCATTCGAGTCCCTTCCATTGGAGTACATTTGTTTCCAGTCCATTCCATTCCAGTTCATTCAATTCAAGTCTATTCCATTGCAATTCATTCCTTTCCATTCCATTCCGTTTCATTCTACTCCACTCCACTCCACTCTATTCCATTCCAGTACACTTCAATCCACTCCAATCCATTCCATTCCACTCCATTCCACTCCAATTCACTCCACTCTACTCAATTCCATTCCACTCCACTCCACTGAACTCCATTCCATTCCACTCCATTCCATTCCATTGCATTCCACTCCACTGAAATCCACTCCACTACTGTCCAATACATTCCATTCCATTTCATTCGACTCCACTCCACTCCATTCGACTCCACTCCACTCCATTCAATTCCATTCCTTCCCATTCCATTCCATTCCGCGCTATTGCTGGCCACTCCACTCCACTGCATTCAATTTCATTCCACCCCCTTCAATCCCACTCCATTCCACTACACTCCACTTCATCACATTACATTGGATTCCATTAGAAGTCATTCAATAACATTCCATTCGATTCCATTCCATTCGATTCCATTCAATTCCATTCCATTCCATTCGATTCCATTCAATTCAATTCCATTCCATTCGATTCCATTCCTTTCGATTCCATGCCATTTGATTTATTCCATTCGAGTATATTCCATTTGAGTCCATTCCTTTCCATTTCATTCCATTCCAGTCCATTCCATTTGGTTTCATTCCGTTTGATTAAATTCCGTTTGATTCAACTTCATTCGATTCCATTTCACTCGATTTCATTCCATTCCAGTCCATTCCATTCGAGTCCATTCCAGTCCATTCCATTCGAGTCCATTCCATTCCATTCCATTCGAGTCCATTCCATTCCATTCTATTCCATTCCATTCTATTAAATTCTTGTCCATTCCATTCGAATCCATTCCATTCCATTCCTTTCCAATCCATTCCATTCCAATCCAGTCCACTTCATCCCATCCCACTCCACACCATTCCATTCAAATCCATTCCCCACCATGTCACTCCATTCCATACCATACCATTCCATTCCATTCTATTCCATTCCATTCCATTACTTTCTTTTCCATTCCATTCCTTTCCATTCCTTTCCATTCCTTTCCATTCCATTCCTTTCCATTCCTTTCCATTCCATTCCATTCCACTCAACTGCACTCCACTCAACTCCGTTCAATTCCATTACTTCCCATTGCTTTCCATTCCACTCCTTTCCAGTCCACTCCACTCCACTACATTCAATTCCCTTCACCACATTCCATTCCACTCCATTCCAGTCCAATTCACCCCATTCCAGTCCACTCCACTGCTCTCAATTTTATTCCATCCCATTCTATTCCATTCCATTCCACTGCACTACACTCCATTTCACTACACTGTATTCCATTCAACTCCACTCCATTCCATTCCAATCCACTTGACTCGACTCAGTTCCTTTGCTTTCCATTTCATTCCATTCCATTCGATTCTACTCCACTCCATTCCTATCTACTCCACTCCACCCTGTTCAATTCATTTTCTTCCCATTCCATTCCATTCCTAATCCCTTCCACTCTACTCCCCTCCACTGCATTCAATTTCATTCCCCCTCGTTCTATTCCACTCCGTTTCTCTCCAGTCCAGTCAACATCAATGCATTAAATTCGAGTCCATTCGATGCTATTCGATTCCCTTCCATTTGATTCGATTCCATTCGATTACATTCCACTTGATTCCATTCCTTTCGAGTTCATTCCATTTGATTGTATTCCATTACAGTCCATTGCATTCGAGTCCATTCTATTTGAGTCCATTCCATTCTAGTCAATTCCATTCCAGTCCATTCCATTCGAGTCCACTCCTTCCCATTCCACTCCGTTCCAATCCATTCCATTCCATTCCATTATATTCGAGTCCATTCCATTCCAGTCCATTCCGTTCAATTCTACTCCATTCCACTCCACTTCACTGCACTCCGTTTTATTCCATTCCATTCGATTCCATTCCACTGCCCTCCACTCCACTTCACTCCACTCCAATCTGCACTCCATTCCATTCCATTCCACTCCACGCCATGCCATTCCACTCCATTCAAATGCATTCCATTCCATTCTAGTCCATTCCTTTCCACTCCACTCCATTCCACTCGACTCCACTCCACATCACTCCATTCCATTCCATTCAGTTGCATTCCACTCAGCTCCACTCCACTCCATTCCATTCCATTCCATTGCATTCCACTCCACTTCACTCCACTGCACTTCATTCCGTTCAATTCCATTCCTTCCATTCCATTCCATTCCAGTTTTATCCATTCAATTCCATTCCAACCCATTCCATTCCACTACATTCCACTGCAATCCACTCCCCTTCACTGCATTGCATTCGATTCCTTTTGATGTCTTTCGATTCCATTCCATTCAATTCAAATCCATTTGGTTCCATTCCATTCGACTCCATTCCATTCGATTCCATTCCATTCGATTCCTTTCCATTCGACTGCATTTAGTTTTATTCCATTACATTCGAGTGCATTCTATTCGAGTCCATTCCATTTTGGTCTATTCCATTAGGGTCCATTCCATTCGAGTCCATTTCATTCCATTCCATTCCATTCCATTCCACTCAACTGCAATCCACTTCCGTACACTCCATTCAATTCCACTCCACTGCATTCCATTCAACTCCATTCCAATCCATTCCACTCCATCGTACTCCATTCCATTCCATTCCATTCCATTCCATTCCATTCCATTCCATTCCGTTCCATTCCATTCCATTCCTTTTGAGTCCATTGCATTTGAGTCCATCCCATTCGAGTCCAGTTCATGCCATTCCATTCCATTCCTTTCCAATTCCACTCCATTCAATTCCTTTCCATTCCATTCCATTCCTTTTGAGTCCATTGCATTTGAGTCCATCCCATTCGAGTCCAGTTCATGCCATTCCATTCCTTTTGAATCCATTCCTTTCGTGTCCAATTCATTGGCGTCTATTCCATTCCAGTCCATTCCATTCCATTTCATTTCTTTCGAGTCCATTCCATTCCACTCCATTCCAGTACACTCGATTCCACTCCACTCTACTAAACTCCACTACACTGCGTTCCACTGCATCCCACGCCATTACACTCCACTCCACTCCACACCACTCCACTCCAATACATTCCACTGCACTGCATTCTATTCCATTCCATTGCACTCAACTCCACTCCACCTCACTCCGCTCCTTTCAATTCCATTCTTTCCCATTCCTTTCCATTGCATTCCACTCCTCTCCTCCCCACTCCACTCCTTTCAATTCCATTATTTCCCATTCCATCCCACTCCATTCCACTCCACTCCACTTCACCGCATTCCATTCGATTCCATTCAATGCCATTCGTTTCGACTCCATTTGATTCGATTTCATTCCATTCTATGCCATTCCATTCCATTCCATTCCATTCCATTCCATTCCATTCCATTCCATTGCATTCCATTCGATTCCACTCCATTCGATTCCATTCCGTTCAATTCCATTCCATTTGATTCCGTTCCATTTGATTCCATTCCACTCGGTTACGTTCCATTCGATTCCTTTCCATTTGAGTCCATTCCATTCGATTTCCTTCCGTTGATCTCCATTCCAATCCATTCCATTCCAATCCAGTCCATTCAATTCGATTCGATTCCATTCCATTCAATTCCATTCCACTCCTCTCCTTTCCCTTCATTGCATTCCACTCCACTCCACTACACTCTGTTCAATTCCATTTGTTCCCAATCAATTCCATTGCCTTCCATTCCAGTCCACTCCTTTACACTAAAATCCACTCAATTGCATTCCCATCAATTTCACTCCACTCCACTGCATTCCACAAAATTGCACTCCACTCCATTCCATTCCTTTCCATTCCATTCCACTCCACTCCACTCCACTCCATTGCACACTGTTCAATTCCATTCCTTCCCATTCCATTCCTTTCCACACCAATCCACTACTGTCCACTACATTCAATTCAAATCCATTCCACCTCATTCCATTCCACTCCAATGCACTACACTTCAACGCATTCCATTCAATTAGATTCTATTTCTTTAGATTCCATTCCATTCCATTTTATTCCTTTCCATTTGATTAAATTCTATTTGATTTCATTCTGTTAGAGTCCATTTCATTCGAGTCCATTCCATTCCACTCCTTTCCATTCCATTCCATTCCACTCCACTCCACTCCATTCCATTCCACTCCATTCCATTCCACTCCATTCCATTCCACTCCATTCCATTCCACTCCTTTCCATTCCATTCCATTCCATTCCATTCCATTCCATTCCATTCCATTCTACTCTACTCCACACCACTCCAATCAATTCCATTCCTTCCCATTCCATTCAATCCATTCCACTACACTCCATTCCATTCAATTCCATTGCAGTGCATTCCATTCCACTCCATTACACTCCACTCCACTCCATTACACTCCACTCCACTACACTTCACCACATTCCTTTCGATTCCGTTAGACAACATGCAATTCCGTTTTGTTCGATTCCATTCCATTCTATTCCATTCCATTCCATTCCATTGCATTCGATTCCATTCCATTCAATTCCATTCCTTTGGAATCCATTCCATTTGTTTCCATTCCGTTCCATTCCATTCCATTCCACTCCATTCCACTCCACTCCACTCCACTCCTCTCAATTCGATTCCATTCCATTTCATTCCGTTCCATTCCTTTCTATTCCATTCCACACCATTCTACTCTACTTCACTCCACTCCACTCCAATTCATTCCATTCCATTCGATTCCATTCCATTTCACTGCATTCCATTCCTTTGCACTCCATTCCATTCCATCCCAGTCCACTCCACTAAATTCCTTTCCATTCCATTGCACTCCACTCCACTGCACTCCACCACACTCCACTACACTTCATTCCATTCCTCTCCACTCCATTCCATTCCACTCCACTCCATTCAACTCCACTCTACTCCGTTTCCCTCCTCTCCACTCCAATCATTTCCATTCCACTCCACTCCCGTACATTCCACTCAACTCCACTCCACTCTTTTCCATTCCATTCCATTCCACTCCTCTGTACTCTGTTCCACTCCAATCCATTCCATTCCAGTCCACTCTACTCCTTTCCACTCCACTCAACTCCACTCCACTCCATTCCATTCCATTCCAATCCATTCCATTCCAATCCATTCCATTCCACTCCACTTAAACTCTACTCCACTGCAGTCCACTCTACTCCACTCCACTCCATTCAATTACATTCCTTCCCATTCCATTTCATTCCATTCCATTCCCTTCCACTCCACTCCACTCCATTCAATTGCGTTCCACCCCATTGCATTTCACTCCATTCCACTCCACTCCTGTACACTTCACCGCATTCCATTTGAAGCCAATTGATTCCATTCCATTCAATTACATTCCATACGTTTCCATTCCATACGTTTCCATTCCATTTGATTCCATTCCATTCGAATCCATTCCATTCGATTCCATTCCATTCGAGTCTATTACATTCCAGTCCATTCCATTTGAGTCCTTTCTATTCGATTCCATTCCATTCCATTCAACTCCACTCCATTCCATTCCATGCCATTCCATTCCCTTCCTTACCATTCCATTTTGCTCCATTATTTTCCCTTCCATTCCACTACAGTCCTGTCCATTCCACCCAATTTCAACACAATCCTGTCCATTGCATTCCATTCTATTCCATTGCATTGCAGTCCATTCCATTCCAAAAATTTCCATTCCACTCCACTCCACTCCATTCCATTTCATTCCATTCCATTCCGTTGCATTCCACTCCACTCCACTCCACTAAATTCCGTTCAATTCAATCCCTTCCCATTTAATTCCACTCCATCCCATTCCAATACACTCGACTCTATTAAATTCCATTCCATCCAATTCCATTCCACTTCATTCCACTCCACTACACTCTACTTCACCGCGTTCCATTAGTTTCCAATCGATTCCATATGATTCCTTTTGATTCCATATGTTGTATGCCTTTCAATCCCATTCCGTTCGATTCCATTCCAT
>NC_000014.9:16113232-16130858 GCF_000001405.40 Homo sapiens
ATCTGCAGTGTATATTTGGAGCACTATGAGGACTATGGTGAAAAAGGAAATATCTTCACATAAAAACTAGAAAGCAACATTCTATGAAACTTCTTTGTGATGTGTGCTTTCATCTCACAGAGTTGAACCTTTCTATTCATTGAGCAGTTTGGAAATGATCTTTTTGTAGCATCTGCAAATGGATATTTGGAGTGGTTTGAGGTCTTGGTGAGAAAGGAAATATCTTCACATAAAAACTAGACAGAAGCATTCTGAGAAACTTCTTGGTGACATGTGCATTTATAACACAGAGTTGATCCCTTCTTTTGATTAAACAGTTTGGTAACAGTCTTTTTGTAGTATCTGTAGAGGGATGTTTGCGAGCAGTTTGAGGCCTATGGTGAACAAAGAAATATCTTCACATAAAAACTAGTCAGAAGATTTCTGAGAAACTTCTTTGTGATGTGTGAATTAATCTCAGAGTGTTGAACCTTTCTTTGGATGGAGCAGTTTGTAAACAATCCTTTTGTAGAATCTGCAAAGGTATATTTCTGAGCCCATTGAGGCCTATGGTGAAATATGAAATATCTTCCCATAAAAACTAGACAGAATGTTTCTAAGAAACTTCTTTGTGATGTGTGCTTCCATCTCACAGAGTTGAACCTTTCTTTTGATTGAGCAGTTTGGAAACCACCTTTTTGTAGAATCTGCAAATGGATATTTAGAGCACTTTGGGGCCTATGGTAAAAAAGGAAATATCATTACATAAAAATTCGACGGAAGCATTCTGTGAAATTTCTTTGTGAGGTTTTCATTCATCTCACACAGTTGAACATTTATTTGATTGAAGATTTGGAAACAGTATTTTTGTAAAATCTACAAAGGGATAATTGTGAACCCTTTGAGGCCTATGGTGAAGTAGGAAATATCTTCACATAAAAATTACACAGAATCTTTCTGAGAAACTATTTTGTGATGCTTGCATTCATCTCACAGAGTTGAACCTTTCCTTTGCTAGAGCAGTTTGGAAACAGTCCTATTGTAGAATCCCCAAAGGGATATTTCTCAGCCGATTGAGGTCTTTGGTGATATAGGAAATGTCTTCACATAAAGCTAGACAGAAGCTTTCTGAGAAACTTATTTTTAATGAGTGCTTTCATCTCAAAGAGTTAAGCATTTCTTTTGACTGAGCAGTTTGGAAACACTCTTTTTGCATAATCTGCAAATGGATAATTGGAGCGTTTCGAGGCCTATGGTGAAAAAGCAAATATCTTCACATAAAAACTAAACAGAAGCTTTCTGAGAAACAACTTTGTAATGCGTGCATTCATCTCACAGCGTTGAAATCTTCTTTTGATTGGACAGTTTGTAAACAGTCTTTTTGTAGAATCTACAGATGGATATTTGGAGTGCTTTGAGGCCTATGGTAAAAAAGGAAATATCTTCACAAAAAAACTAGAAAGAAACATTCTGAGAAACTTCTTTGTGATATGTGCTTTCATCTCACAGAGATGAACCTTTCTTTTCATTGAGCAGCTTGGAAACAGACTTTTTATAGAATCTGGAAATGCATATTTGGAGCACTTTGAGGCCTGGGGTGAAAAAGGAAATATCTTCAGATAAACACTAAACAGAAGCTTTCTGAGAAACTTCTTTGTGATGCGTGCATTCATATCACAGAGCTGAAACTTTCTTTCGATTTAGCAGTTTGTAAACAGTCTTTTGGTAGAATCTGCGAATGGATATTTTGAGCATGTTGAGGCCAATGGTGAAAAAGGAAATATCTTCACAAAAAAACTACAAATATACATTCTGAGAAACTTCTTTGTGATGTGTGCTTTCACTTCACAGAGTTGAAACTTTCTTTTTATTGAGCAATTTGGAAACAGTCTTTTTGTGGAATCTGCAAATGGATATTTGGAGCACTTTGAGGCCTATGGTGAAAAAGGAAATATCTCACATGAACCCTAGACAGAAGTATTCTGAGAAACTTCTTTGTCTTGTGTCCATTCATCTCACAGAGTTGAACCTTTCTTTGGATTGAGCAGTTTGGAAACAGTCTTATTGTAGAATCTGTGAAAAATATTTTTGAGCCCTTTATGGCCCATGGTGAAACAGGAAATATCCTCAAAGAAAAACTAGACAGAAGCTTTCTGAGAAACTTCTTTGTGATGCATGCTTTCAACACATGGAGTTGTACCTTTCTTTTGATTGAGCAGTTTGGAATGGGTTTTTTTGTGGAATCAGCAAATGGATGTTTGGAGCACTTTGAGGCCTATGGTGAAAAAGTAAATACCTTCACATAAAAAAACACACAGAAGCATTGTGAGAAACATCTCTGTGATGTCTGCATTCATTTCATACAGTTGAATCCTTCTTTGATTGGGGAGTTTAGAAACAGTCTTTTTGTCGAATCAGCAAATGGATGTTTGGAGCAGTTTGAGGCCTATGGTGAAAAAGGAAATATCTTCACATAAAAAACAGACAGAAGGATTGTGAGGAACATCTATGTGATGTGTGCATTCATCTCATAGAGTTGAACCTTTCTTTGATTGAGCAGTTTGGAAACAGTCCTTTTGTAGAATCTACAAAGGGGTATTTCTGAGCCCATTGAAGCCTAGGGTGAAAAAGAAATGTCTTCACATAAAAACTAGATAGAAGCATTCTGATAAACTTCTTTGTGGTGTGTCCGCTCATCTCACAGAGTTGAAACTTTCTTTGGATTGAGCAGTTTGGAAACAGCCCTTTTGTAGAATTTACAAAAATATTTGTGAGCACTATATGTCCCATGGTGAAATAGGAAATACCTTCACACAAAAACTAGACAGAAGCTTTCTGAGAAACTTCTTTGTGATGTTTGCTTCCGTGTCATAGGGTTGAACCTTACTTTTGATTGAGCAGTTTGGAAACACTCTTTTTGTAGAATGTACAAATGGGTATTTTGAGTGCTTTGAGGCCTATAGTGAAAAAAGAAATATTTTCACAGAAAAACTAGACAGATGTATTCTGCAAAACTTCTTTGTGAAGTGTGCATTCATCTCACAGAATTGAATCTTTCTTTGGATTCAGCAGTTTTCTAAACAGTCCTTTTGTAGAATCTGCAAAGAGATAATTCTGAGCCCACTGAGTCCTATGCTGAAAAAGGAAATATCTTCACACAAAAACCTAAGAACCAGACAGAAGCATTCTGAGAAACCTCTTTCTGGTGTGTGCATTCATCTCACAGAGTTGAACCTTTCTTTAGTTTGAACAGTTTGGAAACAGTCTTTTTTTTGAATATGCAAATGGATATTTGGGAGCCCTTTACAGCCTATGGTGAAATAGGAAATATCTTCACATAAAAACCAGACAGAAGCATTCTGAGAAACTTCTTTGTGATGTGTGTATTCATCTCACAGAATTGAAAATTTCTTTGGATGCAGCAGTTTGGAAACAGTCTTTTTGTAGTATCTGCAGAGGGATATTCATGAGCAGTTTAAGGCCTATGGTTAAAACGGATATATCTTCACAGAAACCTCGACAGATCCATTGTGAGAAACTTCTTTGAGATGTGTGCATTCATCTCATAGAGTTGAACCTTTCTTTGGACTGAGCAGTTTTCTAAACAGACCTTTTGTAGAATCTACAAAGGGATACTTCTGAGCCCATTGAGGCCTATGGTGAAAAAGGAAATATCTTCACATGAAATCTTAACAGAAGCATTCTGAGAAACTTCTTTGTGATGTGTGCATTCATCTCACAGTGTTGAAACTTACTTTTGATTGAGCAGATTGGAAACAGTCTTTTTGTACAATCTGCAAAGGGATATTTCTGAGCCATTTGAGGCCTATTGTGAGATAAATATCTTCATATAAAAACTAGACAAAAGCATTCTAAGAAACTTCTTTGTAATGTGTGCATTCATCACACAGAGTTGAAACTTTCTTTTGATTGAGCAGTTTGGAGACAGTCTTTTTGTATAATATGCAAAAGGATATTTGTGAGCCCTTTCAGGCCTATGGTGAAATAGGGAATATCTTCACAAAACAAAAAACTAGACAAAAGCTTCCTGAGAAAATTCTTTGTGATGTGTGCTTTCATCTCACAGAGTTGAACTTTTCTTTTGATTGAGCAGTTTGGAAACATTCTTTTTGTAGAATCTGAAGATGGATATTTGCAGCATTACAGGCCTATGGTGAACAGGAAATTTCTTCACATAAAAACTAGACAGAAGCATTCTGAAAAACTTCCTTGTGATGTGTGCATTCATGTCACAGAGTTGAAACTTTCTTTGGATTGAGCAGTTTGGAAAGAGTCCTTTTGTAGAATCTGCAAAAGGATGTTTGTGAGCACATTGGAGCCTATGGTGAAATAGGAATGTCTTCACATAAAAACTAGACAGAAGCTTTCTGTAAAACTTCCTTGTGTTGTGTGCTTTCAACTCACAGAGTTGAACCTCTCTTTTGATTGAGCAGTTTGGAAACACTCTTTTTGTAGAACTTGCAAAAGAATATTTGTAGTGCTTTGAGGCCTATGGTTAAAAAGAAAATATTTGCATATAAAAACTAGTCGGAAACTTTCTGGGAAACTTTCTGAGAAACTTCTTTGTGATGTGTGCTTTCATCTCACAGAGTTGGACCTTGTTTTCATTGAGCAGTTTGGCAACAAGTCATTTTGTAGAATCTGCAAAGGGATATTTGTGAGTGGTTTGAGGCCAATAGTGAAAAAGTAAATATCTTCACCTAAAACCTAGACAGAAGCATTTTGAGAAAACTCTTTGTGATGTTTGCATTCATCTCACTGAGTTGAACCTTTCTATTCATTAAGCAGTGTTGAATCATACTTTTTGTGCAACCTGCAAAGGAATATTTGTTTGCGGTTTGAGACCTATGGTGAAAAAGTAATATCTTCACATAAAAACTAGACAGAAGCATTTTGAGAAACTAATTTTTTATGTGTGCATTGATCTCACAGAGTTGAACCTTTCTTTTGATGAGGCAGTTTGGAAACAGTTTTTTGTAGAGTCTGAAAAGGGATATTTTTTATCTCTTTGAGGCCTAAGGTGAAATAGGAAATATCCTCACATAAAAACTAGACAGAAAATTTCTGAGAAACTTCTTTGTGACGTGGGCTTTCATCTCACAGATGTGAACCTTTATTTTGATTGAGCAGCTTGGAAAGAGTCTTTTGTAGTGTCTGAAGTGCGCTATTATTGAGTGGACTGAGGCCTATGGTGAAAAAGGAAATGGCTTCTCAAAAAAAGTATACAGAAGCATTCTGAGAGACTTCTTTGTAATGTGCGCATTCATCTTACAGTGTTAAACCTTTCTTTTGATTGAGCTTTTTGGAAACACTCTTTTTGTAGCATCTGCAAGAGTATACTTCTGAGCCCATTGAGACCTATTTTGAAATATGAAATATCTTCACATAAAAATTAGATAGAAGGTTTCTAAGAAACTCCTTTGTGAAGTGTGCTTTCATCTCATAGAGTTGAAACTTTCTTGTGATTAAGCAGTTTGAAAACACTCTTTTTGTAGATTCTGCAAGTGGATATTTGGAGTGCTTTGAGGCCCATGGTGAAAAAGGAAATATCTTCACATAAAAACTAAACAGAAGTTTTCTGAGAAAATTCTTTGTGATGTGTGCATTCATCACACACAGTTGAACCGTTCTTTTGATTGAGCAATTTGGAAAAAGTCTTTTTGTAGAATCTGCAAATGGATATTTGGAGCACTTTGAGGCCTATGGTGAAAAATGAAACTTCTTCACATAAAACAAGACAAAAGCATTCTGAGAAACTTCTTAGTGATGTGTGACAAAATTTAGCCTTTCTTTTCATTGAGCAGTTTGCAAGCAGTCTTTTTGGAGAATCTGCAAAGGGATATTTCTGAGCCCTTTGAGGCCTATGGTGAAATAGGAAATATCTTTACATAAAAACTAGACAGAAGCTTTCTGAGAAACTTCTTTGTGATGCGTGCTTTCATCTCACAGAGTTGAACCTTTTTTTTGATGGAGCAGTTTGGATACAGTCATTTCATAGAATCTGCAAAGGGATATTTCTGAGTTCTTTGAGTCCTATAGTGAAATAGGGATTATCTTCACATAATAACTAGACAGAAGCATTCTGAGAAACTTCCTTGTGGTGTGTCCTTTCATTTCACAGAATTGAACCTTTCCTTTGATTGAGCAGTTTGGAAACACTCTTTTTGTAGAACCTGTAAACAGATATTTGGAGCGCTTTGAGGCATAAGGTGAAAAAGGAAGAATCTGCACACAAGAACTAGATAGAAACTTTCTGAGAAACTTCTTCATGATGCGTGCTTTCATCTCACAGATTCAATCTTTTCTTTTCATTGAGTAGTTTGGGAACAAGTCATTTTGTAGAATCTGCAAAGGTATATTTGTGAGCTGTTTGAGGCCTATGGTGAAAAACTAAATATCTTCACATAAAAACCAGACAGAAGCTTTTTGAGGTAACTCTTTGTGATGTTTGCATTCATCTCAAAGAGTTGAACCTTTCTGTTCATTGAGGAGTTTGGAAACATTCTTTTTGTGCAAACTACAAAGTAATATTTCTGAGTGGTTTGAGGCCTATGGTGAAAAAGAAATAACTTCACATAAAAACTAGACACAAGCATTCTGAGAAACTTCCTTTTTATCTGTGCATTCACCTCACAGAGTTGGACCTTTCTTTTCATTGAGCAGTTCATAAACAGTCTTTTTGTAGAATCTGCAAAGGGATATTTGTGATCCCATTGAGGCCTACAGTGAAATAGGAAATATCTTCACATAAATACTAGACAGAAGCTTTCTGAGAAACTTCTTTGTGATGTGTGCTTTCATCCTGCAGAGTTGAACCCTTCTGTTGATTGATCACTTTGGAAACAGTCTTTGGAAGAATCTACAAATGGATATTTGGAGAGCTTTGAGGCCTAGGTTTAAAAAGGAAATATATTCACATAAAAAGTAGAGAGAAGAATTTTGAGAAACTTCTTTGTGATGTGTGCTTTCATTTCACAGAGTTGAATCATTCTTTTGACTGAGCATCTTGGAAACAGTCTTTTTGTACAATCTGCAAAGGGATATTTCTGAGCCATTTGAGACCTATGGTGAAAACGAAATATCTGCACATAAAAACTAGACAGAAGCATTCTGAGAAACTTCTTTGTGATGTGTCCATTCATGTCACAGAGTTGAACCTTACTTTTGTTTGAGCAGTTTGGAAACAGTCGTTTTGTAGAATCTGCAAAGGGATATTTGTGATCCCCTTATGGCCTGTGGTGAAATACAAAATATCTTCACATAAAAACTAGACAGAAGATTTCTGAGAAACTTCTTTGTGATGTGTACCTTCATCTCACAGTGTTGAACCTTTCTTTTGATTGAGCAGTTTGGAAAGTCTTTTTGTAGAATCTGCAAATGGATATTTGGAGATATTTGAGGCCTGTGGTGAAAAAGGAAGTATCTTAACATAAAAATTAGACAGAAGATTTCTGAAAAACTTCTTTGTGATGTGTGAATTCATGTCACACAGTTGAAGCTTTCTTGTGATTGAGTAGTTTGGAAACAGTCTTTTTGTAGAATCTGCAAAGGGTTATTTATGAGCGGTTTGAGGCCTATGGTGAAAAAGGGAGTATCAGCAAATAAAAACTAGACAGAAACTTTCTGAGAAACTTATCTGTGATGTGTGCATTCATCTCGCAGAGTGGAAGTTTTCTTTGATTGAGCAGTTTGGAAACAGTCTTTTTGTAGAATCTGCAAAGGGATATATGTAGGTGGTTTGAGGTCTATAGTGAAAACGGAAATATCTTCACATAAAAACTAACTGCTCAATGGGAAGAAATTTTTACTTCTGTGTGATAAATGCAAACGTCACAAAGGAGTTACTCAGAAAACTTCTTTCTACTTTTAATGTGAAGATATTTCCTTTTTCACCATATGCCTCAATGTGCTCGCAGATATCCCTTTGCAGATTCTACAAAAATATGGTTTCCAAACTGCTCAATAAACAGAATGGTTCAACCCTGTGAGACAAATGTGCACATCACAAAGAAGTTTCTCAGAAAACTCCCGTCTCATTTTTATGTGAAGATATTTCCTTTTTGAACATAGGCCTCAACGCACTCCCAAATATACCTTTGCAGAATCTACAAAAAGACTGTTTTCAAACTGCTCAATCAAAAGAAAGTTTCAACTCTGTTAGATGAATGCACACATCAGAAGTAGTTTCTCAGCAAGCTTCTCACAAGTTTTTATGTGAAGATATTTCCTTTTTCAACGTGGGTCTCAAAGCACTCAAAAAAATCCCTTTGCAGACTCTAGAATAACAGAGTTTACAAACTGCTCAATGAAAAGAAATGTTTACCTCTGTGAGATGAATATACATATCTTAAAGCAGCTTCTCAGAATGCTTCTTTCTAGTTTTTATGTGAAGATATTTCCTTTTTCACCATAGGCCTCAACTTGCTCCTAAATATCCCTTTGCAGATTCTACAAAAAGACTGTTTCCAAACTGCTCAATCAAAACAAACGTTAAACTCTATGAGATAAATGAACACATAACAAAATTTTCTCAGAAAACTTTTGTCTAGTTTTTATGTGAAGATATTTCCTTATTCACCATAGGCCTCAAAGTGCTACAAATATCCCTCTGCAGATTCTACAAAAAAAGACTGTTTGCAAACTGCTCAATCCAAAGAATGTTTCACCTCTTTGTGATGAATGCACACATCCAAAGAAATTTCTCAGAAACTTTCTTTATGGTTTTTCTGTGAAGATATTTCCTTTTTCAACATAGGCCTCAAAGACCTCACAAATATCCCTTTGCAGATTCTACAAAAAGACTGTTTCCAAACCGCTCAATAAAAAGAATTATTGAACACTGTCAGATGAATGCACACAGCTCAAAGAAGTTTCTCAGAATCCTCCAGTCTAGTTTTTATGTGAATATATTTCCTTTTTCATGATAGGCCTCAAAGTGCTCCAAATATCCTTTGCAGAGTCTACAAAAAGACTGTTTCCAAACTGCTCAATAAAAACAAAGGTTCAACTCTGTGTGGTGAATGCACACATCACGAAGCAGTTTCTCAGAATGCTTCTGTCTAGTTTTTCACCATAAGCCTCAAAGTGCTCAGAAATATCCCTTTGCAGCTTCTACAAAAATACTTCTTCCAAATTGCTCAATCAAAAGAAAGGTTCAAGTCTGTGAGATGTATTCACACCACAAAGAGGTTTCTCAGAAAGCTTCTCTCTAGTTTTTATGTGAAGATATTTCCTTTTTCACCATAGGCCTCAAAGCATTTACAAATATCCCTTTGCAGATACTACAAAAAGACTCTACACATTGCTCAATCAAAAGAATGTTTCAACTCTGTAAGGCGAATACTCACATCACCAGGATGTTTCTCAGAAAGCTTCTGTGTAGTTTTTATGTGAAGATATGTCCTTTTTCACCACACACCTCAAAGGGCTCACAAATATCCCTTTGCAGATCTTACAAGATTTTCCAATCTTCTCAATGAAAAGAAACAGACACATCTGGGAGATGAATGCACATATCACAAAGCAGTTTTTGAGAAACATTCTGTCTAGTTTTTATGTGAAGGTATCTCCTTTTCCACCACAGGATGCAAAGCACTCAAAATTGTCCCTTTGCAGATTCTACAAAAAGATTGTTTCCACACTGCTCATCAAAAGAAACGTTCAACTCTGTGAGATGAATGCACACGTCAAAAAGTAGTTTCTCAGAAAGCTTCTATTAAGTTTTTATGTGAATGTTTCCTTTTTCCCCATGAGCCTCAAGGTGCTCAAAAGTATCCACTTGAAGAATGTTTAAAAAGACTGTTTCCAAACTGCTCAATCAAAAGAAAGTTTGAACTACGTGAGATGAATGCACACATCACAAATAAGTTTCTCAGAAACCTTCTTTATAGTTTTTCTGTGAAGATATTTCCTTTTTCACCATAGGCCTCAAAGCCCTCACAAATATCTCTTTGCAGATTCTACAAAAAGACTGTTTCCAAACCGCTCAATAAAAAGAATTATTGAACTTTGTGAGATGAATGCACACATCTCAAAGAAGTTTCTCAGAAACTTTCAGTCTGGTTTTTATGTGAAGATATTTCATTTTTCACCATAGGCCTCAAAGTGCTCCAAATATCCATTTGCAGAGTCCACAAAAAGACTGTTTCCAAGTGGCTCAATGGAAAGAAAGTTTCAACTCTGTGAGATGAATGCACACATCACTAAGAAGTTTTGCAGGAGGCTTCTGTCTAGTTTTTATATGAAGACATTTCCTTTTTCACCATAGGCCTCCATCTGCTCAAAAATATCCCTTAGCAGATTCTGCAAGAACAGAATTTCCAGACTGATCAAAGAAAACAAACGTTTTTCTCTGTGAGATGAATGCACACATCACAAAACAGTTTCTCAGAAACCTTCTTTATACTTTTTATGTGATGATATTTCTAATTTCTCCTTAGGACTCAAAGCACTCAAAAATATCCCTTTGCAGCTTCTACAAAAAGATTGTTTCCGAAGTGCTCAATCAAAGAATAGTTCAACTCCCTGTGATGAATGCATACATCACAAAGAAGTTTCTCAGGAACCTTGTTTATAGTTTTTATGTGAAGATATTTCCTTTTCCACCACAGGCCTCAAAGTGCTCAGTAATATCCCTTTGTAGATTCTGGAAAAAGACTGCTTCCCAACTGCTCAATCAAAAAAATGTTTGAACTCTGTGAGATGGATGCACACATCAAAAGAAGGTTTCTCAGAAATCTTCTGTCCATTTTTTATGTGAAGATATTTCCTTTTTCACCATAGCACTCCAAGTCATGACAAATATCCCTTGCAGATTCTACAAAAAGACTGTTTCCAGACTATTCAATCAAAAGAATGGTTCAACTCTGTGAGATGATTGCACACATCACAAGGAAGCCACTAAGAAAGCTTCTGTCTAGTTTTTAAGTGAAGATGTTTCCTTTTTCACCATAGGCCTTAAAGCACTCACAAATATCCCTTTGCAGATTCTACAAGAACAGAGTTTCCAGACTGATCATAGAAAATAAAAGTTTACCTCTCTGAGATCAATGCACACACCACAAAGCTGTTTCTAAGAAACCTTCTTTATACCTTTTATATGAATATATTTCCTCTTTCACCATTGGCCTCAAAGCTCTCATAAATATCCCTTTGCAGCTTCCACAAACAGACGGTTTCCATACTGCTCAATCAAAAGTAAGTTTCAACTTTGTGAGATGAACGTCCACATCACAAAGAGGTTTCTCAGAAAGCCTCTCTCTAATTTTTATGTGAAGATATTTCCTTTTTCACCATAGGCTTCAAAGCACTCACAAATATCCCTTTGCAGACTCTACAAGAACAGTTTCCAGACAGATCAGAGAAAAGAAACGTTTACCTCTGTGAGATGAATGCCTACATCACAAAACTGTTTCTGAGAAACCTTGTTTATACTTTTTAAGTGAATACATTTCCTTTTTCCCCATAGGCCTCAAAGCACTCATAAATATCCCTTTGCAGATTCTACACAAAGAGTGTTTCCAAACTGTTCAATCAAAAGAATGGTTGAACTCCACGAGATGAATGCACACATCACAAAGAAGTTTCTTGGAAAGTTTCTGTCTAGTTTTTATGTGAAGATATTTCCTATTTCATCATGGGCCTCATAGCTCTCAAAAATATGCCTTTACAGATTCTACAAAAATACTGCTTCCAAATTGCTCAATCCAAAGAAAGTTTCAAATCTGTGAGATGAATGCACACATCACAAGGAGGTTTCTCAGAAGGCTTCTCTCTAGTTTTCATGTGAAAATATTTCGTTTTTCACCATAGGCTTCCAAAGCATCACAAATATCCCTTTTCAGATTCTACCAAAATACTGTATACAAACTGCCCAATCAAAAGAATATTTCAACTCTGAGAGATGAATTCTCGCATCTCCAAGAAGTTTCACAGAAAGCTTCCATCTAGTTTTTATGTGAAGATAGTTCCTTTTTCACCATAGACCTCAAAGTACTACAAATATTCCTTTGCAGATTTTACAAGAACATAATTTCCAATCTGTTCAATAAAAAGAAATGGTTACCTCTGTGAGATGAAAACACAGATCACAAAGCAGTTTCTCAGAAATATTCCGTCTAGTTTTTATGTAAAAATAATTGCTTTTCCAACATAGGACACAAAACGCTAACTAAAAACCCTTTGGAAATTCTACAAAATACTGTTTCCAAAATGCTCATCAAAAGACAGGTTCACCTCTATGGGATGAATGCACATATCAAAAAGATGATTCTCAAAAAACTTCTATCTCGTTTTTATGTGAAAGTGTTTCCTTTTTCACTATGGGCCTCAAAGTGCTCAAAAATATCCCTTTGCAGATCCTAAAAAAAGACTGTTTCTAAACAGCTGAGTCAAAGGAATGGTTCAACTCTGTGAGATGAATGCACACATCATAAAGAAGTTTCTCACAAACCTTCCTTATAGTTTTTATGTGAAGATATTTTCTTTTAACCATAGGACTCAAAGCCCTCACAAATATCCCTTTGCAGATTCTACAAAAAGACGGTTTCCCAACTGCTCAATCAAAAGAATTGTTGAACTCTGTGAGGTGAATGCATACATCACAAAGCAGTTTCTCAGAAATCTTTAGTGTAGTTTTTATGTGAAGATACTTTCCCTTTCACCATAGGCCTCAAAGTGCTCAGAAATATCCCTTTACAAATTCCACAAAAAGATGTTTCCAAACTGCTCAATCAAAAGACAGTTTCAATTCTGTGAGATGAATGCACACATCACCAAGAAGTTTCTCAGTAGGCTTCTGTCTAGTTTTTATGTGAAGATAATTTCTTTTTCACCATAGGGCTCCAGGCACTCAAAAATGTCCCTTAGCACATTATACAAGAACAGAGTTTCCTAACTGATCAAAGAAAAGAATCGTTTACCTCTGAGAGATGAATGCAGACATCACAAAACAGTTTCTCAGAAACCTTCTTTATAGTTTTCTGTGAAGATACCTCTTTTCCTGCATAGGCCTCAGAGTGCTCACAAATATCCGTTTGCAGATTCTTCAAAAAGACTGTTTCCAAACAGCTGAATTAAAAGAGAGGTTCAAATCTGTGAGACGAATGCACATATCACCAAGAAGTATCTCAGAAACTTTATTTATACTTTGAATGTGAAGTTATTTCCTTTGTCACAATAGGCCTCACAGTGTTCAAAAATACCCCTTTTGAGATTGTACAAGAACAGAGTTTCCAGACTGATTGGAGAAAAGAAACACTTACCTCTGTGAGATGAATGCACACACCACAAGGTTGTTTTAACAAAACCTGCTTTATACTTCTTATGTGAAGATATGTCCTTTTCCACTACAGGATTCACAGCGCTCCAAATATCCAATGGCAGATTCTACAAAAAGAGTGTTTCAAAACTGCTCAACAAAAAGTAAGTTCAACTCTGTGAGATGAATGCACACAACACAAAGAAGTTTCTCAGAATGCTTCTGTCTAGTTTTTATGTGAAGATATTTCCTTTTCCACCATAGGCATCAAAGCACTCTAAATATCCACTTGCAGATTCTACAAAAAGAGTGTTTCTAAACTGCTCAATCAAAAGAAAGGTTCAACTCTGTGAGCTGAAAGCACACATCACAAAGAAGTTTCTCAGAATGCTTCTATCTTGTTTTTATGTGATGATATTTCCTTTTCCACAATAGGCCACAAAGCGCTCCAAATATCCACTTGCAGATTCTACAAAAAGTGTGTTTCAACACTGCTCAATCAAAATAAAGGTTCAACTTTGTGAGTTGAATACACACATCACAAAGAAGTTTCTCAGAATGCTTCTGGCTAGTTTTTATGTGAAGATACATTCTTTTCCACCATATGCCTCAAAGTGATCCAAATATCCACTTGCAGATTCTACAAAAAGAGTGTTTCAAAACTGCTCAATGAAAAGAATGGTTCAACTCTGTGAGATGAATGCACACATCACAAAGAAGTTTCTCTGAATGCTTCTGTCTAGTTTTTATGTGCAGATATTTCCTTTTCCACTATAGGCCTCAAAGCTGTCCAAATACAAATTTGCAGATGTTACAAAAAGAATGTTTCCAACCTGCTCAATAAAAAGACATGTTCAACTCGATGAGTTGAATGCACACATCACAAAAAAAGTTTCTCAGAATGCTTCTGTCTAGTTTTTATGTGAAGATATTTCCTTTTCCACCATAGGCCTCAAAGGGCTCTAAATATCCAACTGCTGATTCTACAAAAAGAGTGTTTCAAAACTGCTCAATCAAAAGAAATGTTCAACTCCATGAGGTGAATGTGCACATCACAAAGAAATATCTTAGAATTATTCTGTCTAGTTTTTATGTGAAGATATTTCCTTTTCTATCATGGCCATAAAGTGCTCCACATATCCACTTGTAGGTTCTACAAAAAGAGTGTTTCAAAACTGCTCAATGAAAAGAATGGTTCAACTCTGTGAGATGAATGCACACATCACAAAGAAGTTTCTCAGAATGCTTCTGTCTGGCTTAAGGCCACATAGCGCTCCAAATTGCAGGTTCTACAAAAGGAGTCTTTCAAAACTGCTCTATCAAAAGAAGGTTTCCATTCCGTGAGTTGAATGCACACATCCAAAGAAGTTTCTCAGAATGCTTCTGTCTACGATTTATGTGAAGATATTTCCTTTTCCACTATAGGCCTCAAAGTGCTCCAAATATCCATTGGCAGATTTTACAAAAAGAGTGTTTCAAAACTGCTCAATCAAAAGAAAGGTTGAACACTGTGAGTTGAATGCACACATCACAAAGAAGTTTCTCAAAATGCTTCTCTGTAGTTTTTATGTGAAGATATTTCCTTTTCCACCATAGGCCTAAAAGTGCTCCAAATATCCATTTGCAGATTCTACAAAAAGAGACATTCAAAACTGCTCAATCAAAAGAAAGGTTCAAGTCTGTGAGTTGAATGCACACATAACAAAGAACGTTCTCAGAATGCTTCTGTCTAGTTTTTATGTGAATATATTTGCTTCACCACTATAGGCCACAAAGCACTCCAAATATCCACCTGCAGATTCTACAAAACAGTATTTCAAAACTGCTCAATCAAAAGAATGGTTCAACTCTGTGAGATGAATGCACACATCACAAAGAAGTATCACAGAATGCTTCTGTGAATACATATTTCGTTTTCCACCATAGGCCTCAAAGTGCTACAAATATCCACTGGCACACTGTACAGAAAGAGTGTTTCAAAACTGGTCAATAAAAAGAAAATTTCAACTCTGTGAAATGAATGCACATATCACAAAGATGTTTCTGAGAATGTTCTGTCTAATTTTTATGTGAATATATTTCCTTTTCCCCTATAGGCCACAAAGTGCTCCAAATATCCACTTTCACACTCTACAAAAAGAGCGTTTCAAAACGGCTCAATCAAAAGAAAGGTTGAACTCTGTGAGTTGAATGCACTCATCACAAAAAGTTTCTCAGAATGCTTCTCCATTGTTTTTATGTGAAGATATATCCTTTTCCACAATAGGCCACAAAGCGCTACAAATATCCACTTGCAGATCCTAAAAAAAGTGTGTTTCAAAACTGCTCAATCAAAAGAAAGGTTCAACTCTGTGAGTTGAATGCACTCATCACAAACCAATTTCTCAGAATGCTTCTGTGTAGTTTTCATGTGAAGTTATTTCCTTTTCCACCATAGGCCTCAAAGCGCTCCAAGTATCCAATTGGAGATTCTACAGAAAGACTATTTCCAAACTGCTCAATCAAAAGGAAGCTTCAACTCTGTGAGATGAAGGCATACATCACAAAGAAGTTTCTCAGAATGCTGTTGTCTAGTTTTTATGTGAAGATATTGCCTTTTCCACTTAAGGCCACATAGCGCTCCAAAGATCCACTTGCAGATTCTACAAAAGGAGTCTTTCAAAGCTGCTCAATCAAAAGAAGGATTCTACTCTTTGAGTTGAATGCACACATCACAAAGAAGTTTCTCAGAATGCTTCTGTGTACTATTTATGTGAAGATATTTCCTTTACCACCATAGGCCTCAAAGCGCTCCAAAGATCCACTGGCAGATTTTACAAAAAGAGTGTTTCAAAACTGCTGAATCAAAAGAAAGGTTGAACTCTGTGAGTTGAATGCACACATCACAAAGAAGTTTCTCAGAATGCTTCTGTCTAATTTTTATGTGAAAATATTTCGTTTTCCACCATAGGCCTCAATGTGCTCCAAATATCCACTTGCAGATTCTACAAAAAGAGTGTTTCCAATCTTCTCAACCAAAAGAACGGTTCAACTCTGTGAGATGAAACCACATATCACAAAGAAGTTTCTCAGAAATTTCTGTCTAGTTTTTATGTGAGAATATTTCCTATTTCATCCATAGGCATCAATGGGCTGAGAAGTATCCCTTCACAGATTCTACAAGAGGACTGTTTCCAAGCTGCTCAATTGAAAGAAATGTTCAACTCTTTGTGATGAATGTGCATATCACAAATAAGTTTCTCAGAATGTTTCTGTCTAGTTTTTATGTGAAGGTATTTCGTTTTCCACTATAGGCCGTAAAGCACTCCAAATATCCACTTGCAGATTCTACAAAAAGACTGTTTCCAAACTACTCAATCAAAAGAAATGTTCAACTTTTTTAGTTGAATGCACGCATCACAAAGAAGTTTCTCAGCATGCTTCTGTCTAGTTTTTATGTGAAGATGTTTCCTTTTCCACCAGAGGCCTCAAAGCGCTTCAAATATACACTTGCAGATACTGCAAAAAGAGGGTTTCAAAACTGCTCAATCAAAAGAAAGTTTGAAGTCTGTGAGATGAATGCACACATCACAAAGAAGTTTCTAAGAATGCTTCCATCTGAATTTTATGTGAGGATATTTCCTTTTTCACCATAGGCCTCAATACGCTCCAAATATCCATTTATAGATAATACAAATGACTGTATCCAAACCGCTCAATCAAAAGAAAGTTCAACTGTGTATGATGAATACACACATCACAAGGAAGTTTCTCAGAAAGTTTTTGTCTAATTTTTAGGTGAAGTTATTTCTTACTTCCCCAGAGGCCTCAATGGGCTCTCAAATATTCCCTTTCATATTCTACTAAACGACTGTATCGAATCTGCTCAATCAAAAGAAAGGTTTAACAGTGTGAGACGAAAATACACCTTCCTGGGAAGTTTCTCAGAATTCTTCTTTCTAGTTTTTTATGTGAAGATATTTCCTTTTCGACTATAGGCCTCAAATCGTTCCAAATATCCACTTGCAGATACTACAAATAGAGCGTTTCAAAACTGCTCAATCAAAAGAAAGGTTCAACTCTGTGAGATGAATGCAGACATCACAAAGAAGTTTCTCAGAATGCTTCTGCCTTGTTTTTATGTGAAGATATTTCCTTTTTCACCATAGGCCTCAAAGCACTGGTAATATCCATTTGCAGGTACTACAAAAAGACTGTTCCCAAACAGCTCAATAAAAAGAAAGTTTCAACTCTATGAGATGAAAGCAAATATCACAAAGAAGTTTCTCGGAAACTTTCTATCTAGTTTTTATGTGAACATATTCTTATCACCCCATAGACCTCAATGGCTCACAAGTATCCTTCTGCAGATTATAAAAAACGACTGTT
>NC_000014.9:16133335-16140527 GCF_000001405.40 Homo sapiens
CACAAGCGCTCCATATATCCACTTGCAGATACTACAAAAAGAGTGTTTCCAAACTGCTCAATCAAAAGAAAGGTTCAACTCCGTGAGTTGAATGCACACATAACAAAGAATTTTCTCAGAATGCTTCTGTCTAGTTTTCATGTGAAGATATTTCCTTTTCCACCACATGCCTCAAAGCGCTCCAAAAATCCACAAGCAGATTCCATAAATAGAGTATTTCAAAACTGCTGAATCAAAAGAAAGTTTCAGCTCTGTGAGATGAATGCACACTTCACAAAGAAGATTCTCAGAATGCTTCTGTCTAGTTTTTATGTGAAGATAATTCCTTTTCCACATTAGGCCTCAAAGCTCTTCAAATATCCCTTGCAGATTCTACAAAAAGAGTGTTTCAAAACTGCTCAATCGAAAGAAAGGTTCAAGTCTGTGAGATGAATGCACATCTCACAAAGACGTTTCTCAGAATGCTTCTGTCTAGTTTTTATTTGAAGATTTATCCTTTTCCACAATAGGCTGCAAAGTGCTCCAAATATCCACTTACAGATTCTTCAAAAAGAGTGTTTCCAGACTGCTCAATCAAAAGAAAGGTTCAACTCTGTTAGTTGAATGCACACATTACAACAAAGTTTATCAGAATGCTTCTGTCTAGTTTTTAGGTGAATATATTCCCTTTTAAACTGTAGTCTGCAAAGCACTCCAAATATTCACTTGCAGATTCTACAAAAAAAGTGATTCAAAATTGCTCAATCAAAAGAAGGGTTCAACAGTGTTAGTTGAATGCACACATCACAAAGAAGTTTCTCAGAATGCTTCTGTCTAGTTTTTATGTGAAGATATATCCTTTTCCACCGTAGGCCCCAAAGCACTCCAAATATCCACTGGTAGAGTCTACAAATGTGCGTTTCAATACTACTCAATCAAAAGAAACGTTCAACTTTGTGAGATGAAAGCACGCATCACAAAGTTGTTTCTCAGAATGCTCTGTCTAGTTTTTATGTGAAGATATTTCCTTTTATACCATAGGCCCCAAAGTGTTCCAAATATCCACCTTCAGATTCTACAAAAAGTGTGTTTCAAAACTGCTCAACCAAAAGAAAGGTTCAAACCTGTGAGATGAATGCACACATCACAAAGGAGTTTCTCAGAATGCTTCTGTCTAGTTTTTGTGTGAAGTTATTTCCTTTACCACCATAGGACTGAAAGAGCTCCAAATGTCCACTTGCAGAATCTACAAAAAGAGTGTTTCAAAATTGCTCAATCAAAATAAAAGTTCAACTCTGTTAGAAGAATGCACACATCACAAAAATTTCGCAGAATGCTTCTGTCTATTTTTTATGTGAAGATATTTCCTTTTCCACTTGAGACTGGAAAGAGCTTCAAATATCCAATTGCAGATTCTGCAAAAGAGTGTTTCAAAACTGCTCAATCAAAGGAAAGGTACAATTCAGTGAACTGAATGTGCACATCAGAAGGAAGTTTCTTAGAATACCTCTGTGCAGTTATTATGTGAAGATATTTACTTTTCCACCATAGGCCCCAAGGCTCTCCAAATATCCAATTGCAGATTCAACAAAAAGTGTGTTTCAAAACTGCTCAATCAAAAGAAAGGTTCAACTCTGTGGGAGGAATGCTCACATCACACACAGGTTTCTCAGAATGCTTCTGTCTTTTTTCTGTGTGAAGATATTTCCTTTTCCACTAGAGGATGCAAAGCGCTCAAAATATCCACTTGCAGATTTTACAAAAGGGTGTTTCTAAAATGCTAAATCAAAATAGTTTCAAGTCTGTGAGATGAATGCATATATCCCAAAGAAGTTTCTCAGAATGCTTCTGTCTAGTTTTTATGTGAAGATATAAAATTTTCCACTATAGGCCACAATGCGCTTCAAATATCCACTTGCATATTCTTCAAAAAGAGTGTTTCAAAAGTGATGAATCAAAAGAAAGGTTCAACTGTGTGAGATGAATGCACACATCACAAAGAAGTTTCTCAGAATGCTTCTGTCTAGTTTTATGTGAAGATATTTCCTCTACAATAGGGAACAAAGCACTCCAAATATCCACTTACAGATTCTACAAAAGCGGTGTTTCAAAACTGCTCAAACAAAACAAAGTTTCAACTCTGTGAGATCATTGCACACATCATAAAGAAGTTTCTCAGAGTGCTTCTGTGTAGTTTTTATGTGAAGATGTTTCCTTTTCCACCATAGGCCTCAAAGTGTTCCATATATCTACCTGCAGATTCTACAAAAAGAGTGTTTCGAAACTACTTAATCAAAAGAAAGGTTCAACCCAGTGAGTTGAATGCACTCGTCACAGAGAAGATTCCCAGAATGCTTCTGTCTAGTTTTTATGTGAAGATATTTCCTTTTCCACTATAGGAGGCAAAGCATTCCAAATATCCAATTGCGGTTTCCACAAAAAAAGTGTTCCAAAACTGCTCAATGAAAGGAAATGTTGAATTATGTGAGATAAAAGCACACATCATAAAGGAGTTTCTAAGAATACTTTTGTGTGGTTTTTATGTGAAGATATTTCCTTTTCAACTATAGGCCTCAAAGCGCTCCAAATATACATTTGCAGATGCTACAAAAAGAATGTTTCCAAACTCCTCAAAGATACGTTCAACTTTGTGAGTTGAATGCACATATCACAAAGTAGTTTCTCAGAATGCTTCTGTCCAGATTTTAATTGAAGATATTTCCTTTACCAACATAGGCCTCAAAGCTCTCCAAATATCGAATTGCAGGTTCTACAAAAACAGTGTTTGAATACTGCTCAAACAAAAGTAAGGTTCAACCCTGTGAGATGAATGCACACATCACACAGAAGTTTCTCAGAATGCTTCTGTGTAGTTTTTATGTGAAGATATTTCCTTTACCACCATAAGCCTCAAAGCACTCCAAATATCCACTTACAGATTCTACAAAAAGAGTGCTTCAAAACTGCTTAACCAAAAGAAAGGTTCAACTCTTTGTGATGAATGCACACATCACAAAGTAGTTTTTCAGAATGCTTCTGTCTAGTTTTTATGTGAATATACATCCTTTTCCACTATAGGCCACAAAGTGCTCCAAACACCCACTTGCGGATTCCACAAAAAGAGTGTTTTAAACCTCCTCAACAAAAAAGTTTCAACTCTGTGAGGTGAATGCACACATCACAAAGAACATTCTCAGAATGCTTCTCTCTAGTTTTTATGTGAAGATATTTGCTTTTCCACCATAGGCCGCAAAGCGCGCCAAGTATCCACTTGCAGATTTTACAAAAATAGTGTTTCAAAACTGCTCAAACAAAAGAAAGGTTCAACTCTGTGAGTTGAATGCACACATCACAAAGAAGTTTCTCAGAATGCTGCTGTCTAGCTTTTATCCAAAGTTATTTCCTTTTCCACTATACTCCACAAAGCCCTCTGAATATCCACTTGCAGATTCTACAAAAGAAGTGTTTCAAAAATGCACAATCAAAAGAAAGTTTCAACTCTGTGAGTTGTATGCATACATCAGAAAGAAGTTTCTCAGAATGCTTTTGTGTAGTTTTTATGTGGAGATATTTCCTTTTCCACCATAGGCCCCAAAGCTCTCCAAATATCCACTTGCAGATTATACAAAAAGAGGGATTCAAAACTGGTCAATCAAAAGAAAGGTTCAACTCTGTGAGTTGAAGGCACACATAACAAAGCCGTTTCTCAGAATGCTTCTCCATAGTTTTTATATGAAGATATTTCCATTTCCACCATTCTCTCCAAAGTGCTCCAAATATCCACTTGCAGATTCTATAAAAAGAGTGTTTCAAAACTGTTCAATGAAAAGAAAGTTTCACCTCTGTTAGATGAATGGACACATCACAAAGACGTTTCTCAGAATGCTTCTGTCTAGTGTTTATGTGAAGATATTTCCTTTTCCACCACAAGCCTCAAAGCGCTCTAAATCTGCACTTGCAGATTCTACCAAAAGAGTGTTTCAAAAATGCTCAAAGGAAAGTTTCAGATCTGTGAGATGAACGCACACATCACAAAGAAGTTTCTCAGAATGCTTCTGTCTAGTTTTTATGAGAAGATAATTCTTTTCCACCATAGGCCCCAAAGGGCTCCAAATATCCACTGCAGATCCTACAAAAAGTGTTTAAAAAATGCTAAATCAATAGAAAGTTTAAACTCTGTGAGATGTATGCACACATCACAAAGAAGTTTCTCAGAATCCTTCTCTCTAATTTTTATGTGAGGATATTTCCTTCTCCACCATAGGCCTCAAAGCACTCCAAATATCCCCTGGCAGATCCTAAAAAAAGAGCGATTCAAAACTGCTCAATCAAAAGAAATTTTCAAATCTGAGATGAATGCGCACATCACAAAGAAGTTTCTCAGAGTACTTCTGTCTAGTTTTTATGTGAAGATATTTCCTTTTCCACCATGCTCATCAAAGTGTTCCAAATATCCACTTGCACATTCTACAAAGAGAGTGTTTCAAAGCTGCTCAATCAAAAGAATGGTCCAACTATGTGAGATGAATGCAAACATCATAAAGAAGTATCTCAGAATGCTTCTGTGTAGTTTTTATGTGAAGATATTTCCTTTACCACCATAGGCCTCAAAGCGCTCCAAATATCCACTTACAGATACTCCAAAAAGAGTGTTTCAAAACTGCTCAATCAAAAGAAAGATTGAACTCTTTGAGATGAATGCACACATCAAAAAGTAGTTTTTCAGAATGCTTCTGTCTAGTTTTTATGTGAATATACATCCTTTTCCACTATAGGCCACAAAATGTTCCAAACACCCGCTTGCAGATTCTACAAAAAGAGTGTTTCAAAAGTCCTCAATAAAAAAAGTTAAAACTCTGTGATGTGAATGAACACATCACAAAGAAGATTCTCAGAATGCTTCTGTCTAGTTGTTACGTGAAGATATTTGCTTTTCCACCATAGTCATCAAAGCACTCTAAATATCCACTTGCAGATTCTACAAAAAGAGTGTTTCTAAACTGCTCAATCAAAAGAAAGGTTCAACTCTGTGAGCTGAAAGCACACATCACAAAGAAGTTTCTCAGAATGCGTCTGTCTAGCTTTTATGCAAAGTTATTTCCTTTTCCACAATACTCCACAAAGCCCTCTGAGTATCTACTTGCAGAATCTACAAAAAGAGTGTTTCAAAACTGCACAATCAAAAGAATGGTTCAACTCTGTGAGTTGTATGCACACATCACAAAGAAGTTTTTCAGAGTGCTTTTGTATAGTTTTTATGTGAAGATATTTCATTTCACCAGAGGCCCCAAAGTGCTCCAAATATCCACTTGCAGATTCTACAAAAAGAGGGATTCAAAACTGCTCAATCAAAAGAAAGCTTCAACTCTGTGAGTTGAATGCACACATCACAAAGACGTTTCTCACAATGCTTCTCCATAGTTTTTATATGAAGATATTTCCATTTCCACCATTCTCTCCAAAGTGTTCCAAATATCCACTTGCAGATTCTACAAAAAGAGTGTTTCAAAACTGTTCAATCGAATTAAAGTTTCTTCTCTTTGAGAAGAATGCACATATCACAAAGAAGTTTCTCAGAATGCTTCTGTGTAGTTTTTATGTGAAGGTATTTCCTTTTACACCATAGGTCACAAAGGGCTCCAAATATTCCTTGCAGATTCTACATAAAGAGAGTTTCAGAACTCCTCTATCAAAAGATAGATACAACGCTGAGTTCAATGTACACATCTCAAAGAAGTTTCTCAGAATGCTTCTGTTTAGTTTTTATGTGAAGATATTTCCATTTCTACAATAGGCCTCAAAACGCTCCAAGTATCCACTTGTAGATTTTACTAAAAGAGTGTTTCCAACTGTTCAATCAAAAGAAATTTACGACTCTGTGAGATGAATGCACAAGTCACACAGAACTTTCTCAGAATGCTTCTGTGTAGTTTTTATGTGAAGATATTTCCTTTTCCACAATGGGCCTCAAAGTGCTCTATGAGATGAATGCACACGTCAAAAGACATTTCTCAGAATGCTTCTGTGTAGTTTTTATGTGAAGATATTTCCTTTTCCACCATAGGCCGCAAAGGCCTCCAAATATCCACTTGCAGATTCTACAAAAAGAGAGTTTCAAAATTGCTCAATCAAAAGATAGGTTCAACTCTGTGAGCTGAATGCACTCATCACAAACAAGTTTCTCAGAATGCTTCTGTGTAGTTTTTATGTGAAGATATTTCCTTTTCCACAATGGGCCTCAAAGTGCTCTATGAGATGAATGCACACGTCAAAAGACATTTCTCAGAATGCTTCTGTGTAGTTTTTATATGAAGATATTTCCTTTTCCTCCCTAGGCCTCAATGCACTCCAAATATCTACTTGCAGATTCTACAAAAATAGTGTTTCAAAATTGTTCAATCAAAAGAAAATTGAACTCTGTGAGATGAATGCATACATTTCAAAGAAGTTTCTCAGAAAGAATCTGTGTTGTTTTTATGTGAAGATATTTTCTTTTCCACAATAGGCCTCAAAGGGCTCCAAATACCCACTTGCAGCTCCTACAAAAAGAGATATTCAAATCTGCTCAATCAAAAGATAAGTTCACCTCTGTGAGTTTAACACACACATCACAAAGTAGTTTCTCAGAATGCTTCTTTGTAGTGTTTATGTGAAGATATTTCTTTTTCCACAATAGACCTCAAAGTGCTCCAAATATCCACTTCTAAATTCTCCAAAAGAGTGTGGCAAAACTGCTCATAACAAGGAAAGTTTCAACTCTGTGAGATGAATGCACACATCACCAAGAAATTTGTCAGAATTTTTCTGTGTGGTTTTTATGTGAAAATATTTCCTTTTCCACAGTAGGCCTCAAGCGCTCCAAATATCCACTTGCAGCATCTACAAAGCCAGTGTTTCAAATCTGCTCAATCATAAGATAGGTTCAACTCTGTGAGATGAATGCACACATCATGAAGAAGTTTCTCAGAATGCCTCTGTGTAGTTTTTATGTGAAGATGTTTCCTTTTCCAAAATAGGCCTCAAAGCCCACCAAATATCCACTTGCAGATTCTACAAAAAGAGAGATTCAAAACTGCTCAATCAAAAGATAGGTTAAACTCTGTGACTTGAATTCACACATCACAAAGAAGTTTCTCAGAATGCTTATTTGTAGTTTTTATGTGAAGATATTACCTTTTCCACAATAGGCCTCAAAGCACTCCAAATATCCACT